>NC_000010.11:55900671-56052186 GCF_000001405.40 Homo sapiens | reverse complement strand
AGAAAGGAAATGTTCAGGTTAAGATAGAAGATTATGGAGACAAGGTTCTTTTGAAGCCTCATAGTGGCTGCCCTTAGAAAAAATAGATGGCAAATGTTTCCTATTCAGACCCTTTATAAGGTGCTAGACTCTAAATCTATTTAGAATTGAAGGGGCCTGGAAGGAAAAGGTCTAGCTATGTTAATAGGGATTCTTTACAGATGTGAATTTCCCCCTACAAAGGTCAGCTTGCAGGACCATTTCAAAATGTGATGTTATTGGGGTAAAATATTTAGATTTTCTTCCTTGTCTCATAATGTTATGCCAGAGTCAGGCTGGAAAGTTAAGTCATGGTATACAGGGTTAAATAAAACCCATCTGATGAAAACTTATGGTTTGTAGGGCATGACTTCTCAGACTCCTTAGACAGGAATTTGGGCAAGATAAAAAATCAGAATTTAGTCCTCAATACAAAAAATAGTGACTATGGTCACTATATTGTACAATGGATCTCTTGAACTTATTTTTTCTGTCTAACTGAAACTTTGCATTCTTTGACCAACATCTCCCCAATCTTTTCCTGCTGCCAGCTCCTGGTATTCACCATACTGCTCCCTGCTTCTATTAGTTCAAGTCTTTCATATTCTACATATAAGTGAGATCATGTGGTATTCATATTTATGTGTCTGGTTTATTTCCTTAACATAATGTCCTCCAGATTCATCCATGTTGTTGCAAATAACATGATTTTATTTTTTATGTCTAAATGATATTGCATTGCATATATACATCATGTTTTCTCGATCTATTCATTCTTTAATGGACACCTAAGTTAATTCCATATCTTGGCTATTGTGAATAATGCTTCAATAAATATAATAGTGAGACAGAGTAGGGATAGGACTCACACCCCCTCCCCTCTATTGCAAGCTCGTGGAGAGGAGAGCCCTGTGGGGGTCCTCAACCAGACCTTCTAGATCTTGCACTACAAATCTTGCTCAAGCCATCATACCTACTGATTGCAAGACCTTGAGGAAGCTAAAATAAACAACTCTCACTGTAAATCTTACTCAAGGGAGATAATCTTATCTCCGAAATGCATACAAGATCAGAAGAATGATCAGTCCTTCACTTGAACTTCATTATAATACTCAGATCACATTTGAGGGTGGAGATTTAACATGCTGATCAGAAATGTGACACATTTAAACCTATGTAACCAAACTGTGCAGTTACCAGAAGTTCCCCACCTCTACTTGCTTAAAAGTTACTCCCTTTCCTCTTTAGTCCCTTAAAAATTACTCTCCTGACTATCTCTCGGAGCCAGCCAGAAAATTCTCCCTTGTGCTACCTGCCCTCATGCCCAGGTATAAGGTCCAATAAAGCCTTGTCTAGGAAAACTCTTTTGATCTCATGTCAATTTCTATTACATTGAGAGCCCAAGAACCTGTGGTCAGCAATAGGATTACAAATATCTCTTTGACTTACTGATTTCATTTCTTTTGATTATATAGACAGAAGTATGATCCTTGTATCATATAGTTGCTCTATTTTTGATATTTTGAGGAACCCACTGTTTCCTATAATGGCTGTAATAGCTTATATTCTCATCAAGAATGTACAAGTGATCCCTTTTCTACACATCCTTGCCAACCTTTGTTATCATTCATCTATTTGATAATAACCATTCTAACAAGTGGGATGTGATATGTGGTTTTAATTTTCATTTTCCTGATGATTAGTGAAATTCAGCAGTTTTTCACATACTTCCAGGTCATTTGTATGTCTTATTTTGAGAAATACTTATTCAAATTCTTGGTCAATGTTTTAATTGTTTGTTTTCTTGCTATTGAGTTGCTTAAGTTCCTTATATATTTTGGATTTTAATTTCTTATCAGATTACAGTTTGCAATTATTTTCTTTTTCCACAAGTTGTCTTTTTCTACAGACCTATATACCAACAGAATTGTTTCCTTTACTGTGCAAGATTTTTAGTTTGATATAAACCTATTTGTCTACTTTCTCTTTGTTGCTTGTATTTTGAGGTTGTTGGGGTTCAGAATTCAATTCTCCCAAATATGGCACTTTGACATACTGAACTAAAAATACTTCAAAGTCTTTCTGACATCCCCCATCTTTTCTCCCATAGAAGTTAAAATTCCTTTATCTGTCTAAGATCCATATGTACCAAAAAGAAAAGTTGTTCTATCTTCTTGGAGGGGGGAGGGGAAAAAGACAAAAATGTGACCCTCACACCTAAACAGATTCTTTTACAAATATAATGAATATCTCCAAGGATAATTTAAACTCCAAAGAAAACTATTAACAAGTTGATGTCTGTTTTCAGAGCCATGGATCCATTCATTCTCCATAGTAACCATTTATTGCCCCTCAATAACATTCCTCTTCTACCTCCTCCCATAACATATTTTTAAGGATCCAAGCCCCCATTCTTTCTGTAACCTCAAAATGAAATATAAATTTCTATAACTCATTAAAAAGATGCTTCCTGTATGTACACATTAACTAAAGTTATATCCCTTTTCTCCTATTATTCAATTTCCCTCATATCAGTAATTTTCAAGAAACCTTTAGGGGTCCAAGGACCTTGGCCCTCACAAGGTCATATTCAAAATATCAATTGCCCAGACCAATATCATGAAGTTTTCTTTTAGTAGTTTTACAGTGTTAGATCATATGTAACCCCTATCATATTCCACTAACAATTTTCACAGACATTGGTAAAAGTAATTCTAAAATTTATATAGAATCACAAAAAGACTTGAATAACCATAGCAATCTGAAGCAAAAGGGACAAAGCTGAAGACATCACACTACCTGATTTCAGAGTATACTACAAAGCTATTGTAGTCAAAACAACATGGTATTGGTATACAACCAGACATGCAGGCTAACAGAACAGAATCCCAGATAGAACAGAACAGAATAGAGATAGAATAGATAGAAATAGAAATAGAAGAGAATAGAAATCTCAGAAATTATTTTTTACATGGGGAAAGGGCAGTCTCTTCAATAAATCATGTTGCTAAAAATGGATATTCCCATTCAGAAGAATAACATTGGACCTTATCTCACACTGTATACTAAACAACTCCAAATGGATTAAAGACTTAACCATAAACCTCATGGAATTTAATTTCTCTTCTTAACCCAGACAGACCACTGTGCTCTTCTTGGTATCCCTCTCCTTTTGTTATTAACCTGATGTGGCTCTAGGAAGCTCCCTGGGATGGTCATAAAACTCGTACCATGTGTTTCTCTTTGCTTAAAAACCATAGTCCTATGCTTCCTACAGTCTAATGCTTTATGATAATTGTTTTATGTATTTTTCCCAGTACCCTAGCTGTTCGGTCAATAAACAAATACTAAATAAAGAAAACTTTGAATATTGTTTTTTAAAAATGTGGGTCAATAATCATATCCATCTTTCTCCTTCATTATACATGGAATGGAGAGAATTAAAGTGACTGGCTTGTTACCTATTCACTGTCTTTACTGGGAGGATGTCTTGGGGGAAAGAAAAAGAGTAGGAACTGTTCCAATCCTCTTACCAAATGGTCCTCTAGGTAAACATACTAATGATATTTCTTAGCAGGAAGAACCTTTATCTATAAAATTCTCCTATCACTATATCCCTGGCAAAGGATTACTTACAGTAAATAAACTAAGAATCCATGGATCTATGAGGCATTTCTCCCTGGAGAATGTCAAGTAAGCTATACAAGTCTCTGGGGCTGAAAAATTTGAGATGCTTCAGAGCCTAAATGTATCACTTGGCCTGTGAGGTAATAACCCTATAGCCTCACTTACAGATTTATCTTTTATTCTTGACCAGCAAGCACATGTCAAATGCAGGAAAAAAAAAGGAACTAGGGAGTCCTCTCAATGGTTCAGCTCTCTCTCTGCTTCATCTGAGCAGAAAGTTGTCTTAATCCTTGAAATAATTATTAAGAATTTATTTCTGATTTGTGTCAATTTAATTTGAAAATGCAAAATAATCCCCTTTTCTAAACTCAGTTTATAACATAAAAAAGTTTCCATTTGTTTGTATGAATTTTTATTTAACTCATTCCTCCCAGACTTTTTACAATATATTGCTGAATGGAGACACTTACAACGTTCTAGTAAACCGGATAATGGAAGTCATAGAGAATGTTGAATGATTGAATGCAGTGTTTTTGCCCAAGTTGAACAACCAGATTATGTCAATGGGTCTTATGCCAGTGCTCTGTGTTCTTTTAGCAGACAAATAAATATTCCTCCCCTCTACATTTCTCTTCAATAAAATCTCATTGAGAAAATAAAATCATTTTTAAAAGATGTATTGACAACCAAGCATTTTTTGTGTTAAATGTGTATATGCACACACACTTTTAAAATTTCAATCCCTTTACTCTCATGAAAAAGACAAATGTAAAGGAAAACATGTTTTAAGGAATAAGGTAGAAGGATAGGTAATGTCAAAGTGAGATCCGTAACTGAGACTTGTTGACTTAGTCAATGCTACGTATTTATTGAAGTACTGATTGAACTGGAGTTTCAGATGTTTTTCAAACATTTGGAAAAATATCACTACACTCAAGTGGCTTATATAAAACCCACTGAAGCACACCTATATAAAAACAGAGTTCAAAATGCTGCTTTTGTAAGGTCACCTGTGCCTGGAATATTATTTATTTTACAACAACCTTCACACAAACATATTAGAAATATGAACTGTGATTATTTAAAAGACAACAATATATATAAGCAATTTTTTAAAAACCTATTTAGTGGACTCTAAGAAGAATGACTCTGTAGGATTATGTAGTGAAGTGGTGTATTTGTGGTAAGCTTTGGATTTACACAAATTGTGAATCAAATTTGAGTTCCTACACTTATTAACTGTTATTCTTTTTTGCATCTTGGTTTTTTTCACTTTCAAATAGGAAAATAATCTATATGCTAGGAATCAACATCAGTTTAGTTAATACCCTTTCAAATGTGAGAAGAAGCCATTTAGAAAAGAATGCTAGAAAAAAACAGAATCTTTCAGCAATTGATAGTAGATAATTTTTAAAGATCACTAATTCCAGGTAAACTTTTTCTTTCAACAAACTCTAAAGCTTAGAGAAATAAGTATCAGAGCTCACCTAAGCTGGAATAAATACAGACAGAGCACAGTACAGAAATCTACACCCTAACAGATCAAATGAATAAAATCCCTTTCTATATGAGTTAGGAAACATAAGAAAAAGACAGATGTAAAAATATTTGACTTTGCTTCTATGTTAGAAGTGTTCATTCAATTTACAACAACTTCAGATTCTTCTTCTCCATCATTTTACTATATTTTTTTTCAAAGGGAAAAATGCCACCAGCTGTTACAGTATTAATTAATTGCTTGTTGATTGTCTTTTCATTTTCTAAAATATATAGTTGACCCTTGAACAACATGAGCCTTAGGGGCTCCCACTCCACACGTAGTCAAAAATATGCATGTGACTTTTGACTTCCTAAAAGCTTAACTAATAATAACCTGCAAGAGACCAGAATCCTCACTAATAACATAAAAAATCAATTATCACATATTTTGTATATGTATTATACATTATAGTCTTATAATAAAGTAAGCTAGATAAAATAAAATATTGGCCAGGTGAGGTGGCTCATGCCTGGAATCCCAGCACTTTGGGAGGCTGAGGCGAGCTAATCACGAGGTCAGGAGTTCGAGAGCTGCCAACATGGTGAAAACCCATCTCTGCTAAAAATAAAAAAACTAGCTGGGAGTGGTGGCAGGCACCTGTAATCCCAGCTACTCAGGAGGCTGAGGCAGGAGAATCACTTGAACCCAGGAGGCAGAGGTTGCAGTGAGCCGAGCTCACGCCACTGAACTCCAGCCCGGTCAACAATGCAAGACTCCATCTCAAAATAAATAAATAAATAAATAAATAAATAAAATATTATTAATTTCTGGCTTCTCTATTCTGTTTCATTGGTCTATGTGTCTGCTTTTCTACCAGTACCATGCTGTTTTAGGTGCAGTAGTCATGTAGTATTTTGTGAAGTTAGATGACGTGATACTTCTGGCTTTCTGCTTTCTGTTTAGGATTGCTTTGGCTATTTAGGCTCTTTTTTGGTTCCATATGAATTTTAGAAATTTTTTTTCTAATTTTGTGGAAAATGACACTGGCAGTTTGATAGGAATAGCATTGAATCTCTAAATTGCTTTGGGAAGTATGGCTATTTGACTGATGTTAATTCTTCCAATCCATGAGCATGGGTATTTTTCCATTCATTTGCATCATCTCATTTCTTTCAGTAGTATTTTGTAATTCTCATTGTAGACATCTTTAACATTTTTGGTTATCTATATTCTTAGGTATTTATTCCTTTTGTGACTATTGTAAACGGGTTTGCATTCTTCATGGCTCCTAGCTTGAACATTATTGGTGTATATAAATGTTACTGATTTTTGTAGATTGATTTTGCAGCACTATTCACAGTGGCAGAGGCATGGAATCAATACAGGTGCCCATCAGCAGTGAATTGGATAAAGAAAATGTAGTATATATACACCATTAAATACTACACAGCCATAAAAAATAATAAAATCATGTTCTTTGTAGCAACATGTATAAAGCTAGAAACCATTAGCCTAAGCAAACTAATTCAGAGACAGAAAACCAAATACTGCATGTTCTCACTTATAAGTGGAAGCTAAATATTGAGTACACATGGTCATAAAAATGGGAACAGTAGACACTAGGGAATACAAGAAGTGGGAGAGGGGAGTAAGAGTTGAAAAAAC
This sequence comes from Homo sapiens, assembly GCF_000001405.40. NCBI lineage: Eukaryota > Metazoa > Chordata > Mammalia > Primates > Hominidae > Homo > Homo sapiens. Next base: position 56,045,396 of record NC_000010.11, on the reverse strand, counting down.
TACCTACTGATTATTATGCTTACTATCTGGGTGATGGATTCATTTGTACTCCAAACTTCAGCATCATGCAATATGCCTTTGTAGCAAACCTGCACATGTATGCACTGATTCTAAAAGTTGAAAAAAAACAGTGAATAATGAATTTAGAAAGAAAATGGTATTAAGAAAATCATGAGGAAGAGAAAGTGTATTTACTATTATTAAGTGGAAATGGGCCATGATAATGGTCTTTATCCTCATCATCTTCACATTGAGTCTGAGGAGGATGGGGAAGAGGAGGGTTTGGTCTTAGTGTCTCAGGACTGGAAGAGGCAAAAGAAAATCTGTGTATGAGGAATAAGTGGACCCACTCCCTTCAAATCTGCTTTAAGGGTCACCTGTAAGTTCAGGAGGTCTAGAACTTTGTTCATCGTTGTATCCCCTAAAAACCTCGTTGTGGCATAAGAGACACTGAACAGGTATTAGTTAAATAAATGTACACATGAAGCTATAACTTCATTATAGCTTCCCTTCATTAAGGAGGGTTACAAGAAATTTAGGAAGCAAGAGTTCAAACTTAAGTTACCAGACTTTCAGCCCATGCCTTTCAACTACATTTTTGTATGGGACAGATGAATCTAGAAAATATTTTATTAGGAGCATGTAAATGACACTATTAAGTACAGGCGAATGTGACAATAAATCATTAAAGTGTGACAAGAAATATGGAAGGCAAAACTGAATAAATATTGGGGCTTTGGTGCTGATACTAGTAAAGCAGTTAGCAGACATAGCAAATCAATTTGCTTTTGCTTGTCAGCATTCATAGACTGCTTCAGTAAAATTAAACTAAAAACTGTCTGAGACTTGGCCAGGCGCAGTGGCTCACGCCTGTAATCCCAGCAATTTGGGAGGCCGAGGCGGGCGGATCACGAGGTCAGGAGATGGAGACCATCCTGGCTAACACGGTGAAACCTGGTCTCTACTAAAAATACAAAAAATTAGCCGGCGTGGTGGCGGGTGCCTGCAGTCCCAGCTACTAGGGAGGCTGAGGCAGGAGAATGGCGTGAACCCGGGAGGTGGAGCTTGCAGTGAGCCAAGATCACGCCACTGCACTCCAGCCTGGGCGACAGAGCGAGACTCCGTCTCAAAAAAAAAAAAAAAAATGTCTGAGACTTAAGAAAAGGTATTCTGATAAAGTTGTGCTTCTGTTCCAGGTAGGACAGGTCCTGCAACATCTCCCTCCATTTAGGTTGTCAGATATTTATTACCAGAGTTGTCTTGATAGAGCTGTATGAAGGTTAGACAGAAGCCTGAATGGGTGATGTGAGATTTATGTTCTCTCCTACACATAGAAGGAGGTGAGAAACAAAACCATCACTTCAGTTAACTCTCTTGATAACCTGTATGAAGGGATGATAACCTTAAAACAGCTGTTGTGCTACCATTTTGTTTCATCCAAAAATTAATTTTTTCGTATTATATTCTGGATTTTGGAATAAAAAATTTGGCCAGTATGTAAATATTATAAAAGATATTTAAAAGGAATTAGTTTTGTTAGGAATAAAATACACATGATGTAAATTAAATCCATGTACATATTTTCAGATTAAAAAATATTTTTATGCAGTGTACTTATTTAATTAATGCTTAATTTGGGACATATGTTTATAAATAATCAAATAATGGTTTTACTATATCATTTATAGTTAAAATTAAACTAAACTTTAATTATTTGGAATCACAATATTATAGAGTAGAACAAATTTTAGAGGTATTATGAGTTACCCTATAAACTTTAACTATAATAAGAAAACATTTCATAACAATAAATTTGAATTTTAAGGACTTTTTGGCTTGGACTAAGGGCTAACCATTTCCTGGCTCTTTTCTAATACTTTTGTGACCATACTACCTAATTCAGAGTAAGATACCTCCTTCACTACAAAGTATTTTAAACTCTTACTTGTAGATGTCAGCATTACTGTTTATCACTATATGAATTTGTTTTGTTTCTTTACTCTTAAAGTATAAGTAGTATTGTATGAGTAACTTGCCAGTTAAACTCTATCATTTACAGTTTTGTTCAACTGCAGTCACAGAAGTTCAATGATTAAAATTCTAAGATATCTTTTACAATATAACCCTTAACTTACATACATGACTGAGTATATTCATGCAAACACACACACACACACACACACACACACATACACTCAATTCTATAATTTATAATTATATAAATCCCCTTAATCCTGTTAATCATCACTTTAAATTTTATGCTTGTGGACACACCTAGGTCCAGAACAGTAATCTAATTTGCCCACTGTTACTGACATAACCAGAACCAGAACTGAAAAACTTCTGGAAATTGCCATTTGAAAGGCAATGGGGTACTTTCCTAAGGATTCTTTATTTTCTCCAGTTACATTAATCACATTTCTAACCACAACCAAATGTAACCTTGCTTATGCTAACATACACACACACACACACACACACACACCTGAAATAAAAATTCACAAAACAATATCTATACTAATTATGCATAGTCCATTCTTATAACTGTTTTATTTTCATCTCAATTTCATTCTAGTGTACCCTTTCATTAAAAAAACTCCTTACACTTATTCCAAATGCTACCAATTTAATGCATTTTGAATTGCATGTCATAAGACCTTTTGTGAGTTGAAAATTAAATTTAGTGAATGCTATAGTCTGGGCCGGGCATGGTGACTCACACCTGTAATCCTAGTACTTTGGGAGGCCAAGGCTAGCGGATCACTTGAGGCCAGGAGTTTGAGCATGGCCAACATTGCGAAAACCCATCTGTACTAAAAATACAAATATTAGCAGGGCATGGTGGCGCATGCCTGTAATCCTAGCTACTCGGGAGGCTGAGGCACGAGAATCACTTGAGGCAGGGACGCAGAGGTTGCAGTGAGTAGAGATAGCGCCAGCATGGGTGACAGAGGGAAACTCTGTCTCAAAAACAAATAAATTAATTAATTAATTAATTTAGTGAGTGCTATAGTCTGAATGTGTCCCTCAAAATATCTGTGTTGGAAATTTAATCTCCAGTGCAACAGTGTTGGGAGCTGAGGCACAGCCCTCATGAATGGATTGATGATGCTATTAAAAGGGCTTGCAGATGTGAGATTGCTGTCTTCTGCTCTTCTGCCATATGAAGACAAGGCATTCCTCCTCTCCAGAAGACGCAGCCCTTACGAGACAACTGAAACTGCTGGCATTTTAATCTTGGACTTCTCAGCCCTCAGAGCTGTGAGAAATACATTTCCATATTTTGTAAATTACCCAGTCTGTTGTATTCTGTTATAACAGCACAAACGAACTAAGACTGTGAGTCCAGATAGCATTTTTAAAAATCATGAACTATAATAAAATAAAAAAATCAAAATAAAACATGGCATACAGCACATGAGACAGCTATATATAGTACAATGAAAGGTTTGCAGTTTGGTATCATAAATACATCTAGACAGAAATAAAATGTATTTGTTCCTTTGAGTTGTGGCCCCCCCTCCAAAAAAGGATAAAATCCACCACACTAAAAGTTAATGGTAGACACATTGAGAGCTACTTCACTAAATATTTATTTAGTATTATTATTTTTTAATTATTACTTTTAAATACAAGTTAATATGCTTTATATGTTCCAAATAACTAATGTGAATTTTTTCCAAGCATAATAGTCATTGACCAATCACATAACATATAGTCATCAAAATTCTCTCATTTTTCCATCTAATTTATCACTGGTTATTAATTTGAAACTTTAACAAAACATAGTGTGGCAAGGTAATACCTAGCAATATTCGTTTTTCTTTAACAATCAATACTACACATAATCTATAAATACAGGTTGAATTATGTATTAAATATTTTATTATAATATAATATACTTCAGACAAATCCTAGAGAGACATATGACAACTGAAAAACTTTTTTCTTAAACTAATTTAATACCAATTGACCCAATAATTAATTTAGACTGGCAGCTCCATCTATACTAACCTATAAAAATAAATAACAAGCTATCAATGTAGAAGACGTCTAGTAAAATATTCTTGAAAGATACACATTAATAACATTAATCACAATCCTATCGACTGTTGACATTTTAATAAAACTAAATGTAAAAAATTCAATCTGCCCAAGATGGTAGATTCAACTAAAAAGTACATTACAAAGGCCTTTGTGATGATACAATGGTGGGACGAAAATAACCAGGGATAAGGAAAGCTATTGACATAATTGACATTAACATGAAATAAAATTGTAATGGGAAAAAGCATTTGAAGTACTCAGAGCTAAATGTATTTGATTTCATTTCATTATAATAATACAAATCCAGTTTTTATCTAAACGTTTTTACTTAAACATAACGCTTCGGATTAATTTCAAAAGATACGTAATTACCACTTGCTCACATAAATTCAAGTGAATCCATTCTGAACTAATAAAAAGAGTTTAAGAAATAATCCTGTTTTTGACATAACTAACATCCAAATCTTAGCTACTGGCAGAGCTCAAAATTCATGTATATATATGTCCTGAGAATGTTTAGTAATAAACATAGCAAGATATAAACTGCTGGCCTACAATTTAACTTTTAAAAACTTGGCTACACAAAATTCTCTAATATGATTTATCTGTTTGGTAACTAGATGGTGTTTCTGGTATAAAACTACCTGAACATTTCAGCTGGACAGTACAATTCAAATTGACCAATTTTCATGTTCATCATAATCATCACTCTTTATTAGTGGATATGTGGATTGCACTTAAAGTTTCACAATATACTTTGTTGATACCAACAGCAAAATGTTGATGCCAGCAAGACAGAAACTAAAACCTTCATAGTTACATGTGAGATAATTTTTGCTCACAAAATTGGATTGCCCTGCATCACAGACCTGATAAATGGTAATGCTACAATACCTAGGATTTTCAAAGTTTATACTCTCCCTTTTCTACAAATTTTCCTTATTTAGAAGCAATGAGTTTCATAAGTTCAAAGAAATAGCATATAATTAAGAATGTTTTCTTTGTAATCCAAAGAGAGCTTTTAGAAATAATGAAAACTAGAAAGTTTAATTTGACAATGAAAACTTTCTAGTTTTTATTTGATTTAACAATAAAATTTCAATTAAGGTTTAATAACATAAAAATAATTACTTTGTGTGTCTTTTGAAACCAGAGACAGAGTAGGCATCTCTCCAAAGCAGAAAATGCATTAGTTAGAAATAAAAAATGATGTCTTCATATACAATTTACTAGCATAAAATTTACTCATCACATCAAAGTTATTGCTGGCTTATAAAATTTTATTATTCAAAATTTGTAGTGTCAACAGAGTGGATCTAATTACAGAACACAAAATTTCTCTTCAAAACTAGCAATTTTTTAGTGTTAAATAAATAAAACCTCAAAAAAGTAATGACAAAAATGTATTTGTTAAGTTGCTTTTATAATTTGAAAATATGGATTCATTTTCCCCTTCAATAAAAACAGGAACTTTCGTGCATTAAATATACATGATAATCTGGGAAATTACTGGGAAATACTCAGGAAATGGGTTTGTCACTGCATATCTAGATTTAATTACACCAAGAAAACATTTTTCAGCTACCTCATGATTCAATTCAGGACACCAGTACATTAAATCAGCATTGAGTAAGAAGCCATAATTCATTTGTAGCTACATCCAGTGTCTATGTATGTCTGACATCTGTTGATATGTTAAATAGATTTCTGTTCAACTCAAGAAACTCAATATACATAAATACATTGAAAATCAATGTATTTAAATACATATAAATTGTATATGGAGACACCATTTTTTGTTTTCAACTAATCCATATTCTGCTTTGGAGAGATGCCTGTGCTGTCTCTGGTTTCAAAAGACACACAAAACAATTATTCTTATGTTATCAAACCTTTAATTGAAATTTTATTGTTAAATATATCAAATGAAAACCAGAAAGTTTTTATTGTTAAATTAAATGTTCTGGTTTTCATTGTTTTTCAAAAGCTCTCTTTGGATTACAAAGAAAACATTCTTAATTGTATGCTATTTCTTTGAACTAATGAAAATTATTGCTTCTAAACATAAAAAATTTGTGGAAAAAGGAGTGCATCAATTTATAAGTCTTCCTGACTTATAAATACTTTTCAAACTTTTTAAGTGGTTTCTTCCTTGCTTGTGATATATTCCAAATCCAACAAGTTTTTGTTTTATTTTGCAGTTGTCCCTCACATGAATTCCCTTCAACACACATTTTTACTTTCATTCAAGTTTCTCTTTGTTAAAGCTAAAATGAAGAAGCAGGAGGAGAAGAAGAAGCATAATAGTTTCCAAAATTACATTAATGGTGGACTTCTTGCCTGATAACAATTTAGTATGTGGACACAGTGCTTGATAAATTGGCCAACAGGTGACTTTCAAAGACAACGTTACATTTACATGAGTCAGTGTTGGAGAAATTTCAATTAAATGTTTAATAACATAAGAAGACTTGCTTTGTGTGTCTTTTAAAACCAGGGACAGAGTAAACACTCTCCAAAGAAGAAAATGCCTTAGTCGGAAACAAAACTTGGTGTCTTCATATCCAATTTGCTAGCATAAAGTTTACTCGTTATTTCAAAGTTATTGCTGGTTTATAAAATTTTATTATTCAGAATTTGTGGTGTCAACAGTGTTGACCTAATTACAAAACACAAAATTTCTCTTGAAAAAAACTCCCCAATCAAGACTAGTAAAAAATGTCCTCTTAGCAACCTGTTCTGTTTTTAATGTTCCCTTTCTACCACCCCATGTTCTTCCTGACAGCCTAGAGCTCCCTTGCTTTCTTCCCTTTATTATGAAGGGCAGCTATTTCTTCTGATCACAGCCTGCCTTGAGGAAACCTAGAGCCGTTATTTCCACTGTAATGTGAATTTATCAGAGAATGGTGGTGGTTTCTTCCTAAGACATTTTCATATTATGTAATATGATAAAATTACTTCTCTCTCTTTCTACACAACTAACGTATACATATGCATACATGTAGTTATAGATAAGTAAACATCTGTATTTCTATTTACATGTAGTCAATACCCTCATTTTTTCTCTGTCTCCTCTTTTCTTGTTCCCCTGATTCCCTACTTAGCCTTTTAAAAATGCAAATAAAGCCTTTTACCTCCCCTCCACCCAACTCTCCCTACAGGGCAAGTTCATACACATATGTGCTCCAAGTTACAACTTTATTGTGGGGTTGCCTCAAGAGATAACAGCACACCCACAAAGGTACCAGCAGTTGTCAGCTGGACCACCCCGTAGACAAGGCACCAGAACCAGCATGGACGCCTGCCCTTACTCACTTCCTCCCCTGCCTTTTAAAAGTGTCTGCTTTCTGCTCCAAAAGTGAAGCAGTATGGCAGGATATCTGTATTTCTTCCCCTAAGATAGCTTTGGAAATAAATGATTTTTTATACCAGAACTTGCTTTTATTAATTGGACTCTACAAGCAGTGAGCAGCTAACCTGCTGTTTGTTTACACATATACTTTAAGGAACTACTACAAATTACACATAGTTCTTATCTTAGAATGTTGAAATTACATTACATTTTCCTTGTTTTTCACCAGAAGTTTTCATGTTAACATAAATTAATATCACAAAGATATATATTATTAAAATACAGTCTAGAAACAAAACAATAAAACTTTTTTTCTTTTTATCATTTACATTTCTAATACCATGGTATTTGACATACTTGTTTTACTTGCCCATGCTTTTACTCTTGTGATTAATTATGCTTGCTTTTTAGGAGTTACGTTAACCAAAAATAAAATTTTAAGCCCCTTGACCATCCGAATGGACTCCTCCTGTCTAGCAGGGGCATTCCAAACTTAACCTGAAAAACAGTTCAGGCCATGACGGGAATGAGGAGTCAGACGTGCCTCATTATATTATACTCTCCTTTCTTTTGGAATTCAGGCCCACCTGATTAGCATGAACATGAACACACACTTAAAATAGATACAGCAAACTCTTTAGGTTTGATAAGAAACCTTTACAATCTATTCTCTGAAGCTTTCTACCTGGAGGCTTCATCTGCATGATAAATCCTTGGTCTTCACAACCTCTTATCTTAACCCAGACATTCCTTTCTATTGATTCTGAGTGTTTCAACAATAACATAACTCTTTCAGCCAACTGCCAATCAGAAAATGTTTTAATCTACCTATGACCTGGAAGCCCCTACTTTCAGTGTCCCAGCTTTCTGGCTCAAACCAATGTTCGTCTTACATGTATTGATTGATGTCTTATGTCTCCCTAAAATGTATAAAACCAAGTTTTAGCTGGACTTCATTGGGCCCATGTTCTCAGGATCTCCTGAAGGCTGTGTCAGGGGCCATTGGTCACTCATATTTGGCTCATAATAAATCTCCAAATATTTTACAGAGTTTGACTCTTTTTGTTGACAGTTGTACAATAATTATTACTACAAAGAACATTGGTGTTGAGTGCCTATCTTAAATTCAATCCGTTTGTTTGGAATTGGACATTTTAGAAGAAACCAGAAAGATTTGTTTTTTTCTTCCCAAATCTAAATGTCTGAAGTAGAAAGTATTTTTGTAAGTTTACTAATCTAATCCTAAAACTTCCTCACTGTCCAGGAGTATAGAATGTTTACATCTTTCACCTGTTTAGGATAATCTTCACCAATCTCCCTTATATTCTTTCTATCTCTCTCAGCTCTTGTCACTGTACTTCCTCCCAGATTTGTAGGCCATACCTACAGAGTGAATGATGTAGATATATGAAAGCTACAGATAGGTCACTTATTCTAGGTCATTGGGGATGTTTATTAGAAGTCAAGGTCTACAACTACCAAAGCAAATTATTGTGGATCCAGAGCCTTAGAATCTGCATTTTAAGCATTTTTCAGGTAATCAAGTCTAAAAAACAATAATAAATACCCACTTCTTAGATCACACAGAAATTAAAAGGAGAGAGATAGGAAAATTTTGCTGAAGTGTTTCTATGCTATATTATGGGCACAAATAATTCAGATGACATCCAAGATACTCAGCATTATTTGCTTCTCTACTCAATTATGTAAATTTAACTATAATGTATTTGAAAAGGAAGTCACACAATACCTATTTGAATGCCAAAAATACAAAATACTGAAAGCATTAAGGATTTGGAATAAAAAACCTATCTTTCATTTCTGGTAGGAATGCAAAATGATATAGCCACTTTGTAAGACAGTTTGGAAGCTTTTTACAAAACTAAACTTACTTTCTTTATCTGATATAGCAGCTGTGCTTTTTCGTATTTATTGAAGTGAGCTATAGAAATAGTTTCATAGAAAAATCTGCACATGAATGATTATAGCAGCATTTTTTTATAATTGCCAAAACTTGGAAGTAACCAACATGTTCAGCAGGTGAATAAACTGTAGTATATGCATATAATGGTATATCATGCAGAACTTGAAATGAGCTACTGAAAGGACTTAGCCAGCTTGCTTTAGGCAGACTAAGTAAGGTCGCCAGAGAACCTCCAACCTACCCCACAAGGTGCTTATCCCAGATGTTTTGTGCAGATAAAGGAACTTGCTCAGGGGCTAAACATGACCGCTGTGGGAAATTCCCGTTCCTTAACTCATGCGCAGTAGGTGAAATAAATCAACATGGAGTTCAGACTAAGGGCCCGCATGCGCAGTGGATGGACGGGGGTGGAGCTGCCAAGAATTCACACCATATACAAATAAGGAGCCCAGCCTCATTGACTTTTGCACAGAAGCCCTGGTATTCAACTGCGAAAGGGGCAACTGGAAACCTGCTTTCAGGACCCTTCTTTTTGCTGAGAGCTTTCCTTTTGCTTAATAAATTCTACTCTACTCACTCTTTGATATCCACATGCCTAATTCTTTCTGACTGTGAGACAAGAACCTGGACCTAACTGAGCTAAGGAGCAAAACTCCTGCATCATTACTAAGCCATGTAAAGACATGGAGAAACCTGAAATGATTTTAAAAAGCCAATTTGAAATGGCCACATTCTGTATGATTTCGTCTATATGACATTATGGGCAAGGTAAAACAGTGGAGACAGTAAAAAGATCAGTGATTGCCAGGGGCTATGGTCAGGGAGTAATAAACAGGAAGAATACAGAGGATTTTTAAGGCAATGAAACAATTGTATGATACTATAATGGGGCATACATGCCATTATACACTGGTCAAAACTCATGAACTATAAAACTGCAAGAGTGAACTCTTATGTAAACTTTGATTTTTCAATAATTATGATGTTTCTCTACAACTTCACAGATTATAATCAATGTTCCACTGTGATTCAGAATGTTGAGTGGATGGGGCTGTGTTTGTGTGAGACGGAAAGGAGGCACATGGGAACTCTCTGTATTTTCAGTTCAAATTTACTGTGAATCTAAACCTTCTCAAAAAATAAAATCTGTTAACTGAAAAAAATCAGAGCATTTTAGGAAATGATGTTACATATATGATACACTATTCCTCCAAAAACAAGGACATCAAGACCATGGGGACATTTTGATTCAATCAAATGTCAGAGTATTTCTATACCATGACCTAAAATTTTTAATATATTTTAAGATACTATGAGAGTGCTTTTGTGATTTTAGTTATATATTGGTACCACTGTTCCAAAAGCTTTTTTAAAAACACGTTTAAACTACGTGGTCTATAAATGTGTTCGTTCTCTAAACTAAGTTATTGTTGAAAATATTAATTTCCAATTTATTTCTATTCTTCTTAGATTTAATCATCCGAACTTAAAGTATAATCTTTGAAAATAAAAGAATGCCTTAAACTTGTGTAGAATATTAAAGACATCAGTACAAAATATATCCTAGCTATAATTACTGTGCCTGTACTTAGCATTTTTGGTACTTTTTCTCTCTTTTCTTATATAGACTATAATTATTCTTGTCAAGTTCATATTCATTCCATTCTTGAAACACAAATTTGCCCCTGGACAAAGCTATCTTTTAATACTTACTTAAGATAAAGATATAGAACATTATCTGACTACAGAAAAACATTATTTCTCCAATTGTTCCACTCATTCATTTCTCTAATAAATTTATTTGGTTTTTGATATTTTTCCTAAACAGAATGATAATTTATTGTATGCCCGTGACAACTCTGGTACTAAGCTAACAAAAGTGGTTGAATGTTAAATTTGCCAAAAAAATTGTACACAAAATTGACAGGCTATAACAATGACAATATCTTTATAAACATTTGACTACTCAATATAGTGTTTAGATATAGATATTTGGATTACTAGATAAACCCTAGTAAATAATTACAATTAACAAATAAATTAGCTAAGTTTTTACATTTTACATTTCCTTAGTATTTTTATCATGATGATTCAATTTTAGGTTTTCCTATAACTTCCTATTGTTCTTCAACACATAGCATTGGAAATATGAAATAAGTGAGATTTGTGATGTTTGGCTGGTAGGTTTTTTTAAAATATAGATAATGGAAATATCACTTGTATTAGTCTGTTTTCATGCTGCTGATAAAGACATACCCAAGACTGGGAAGAATAAAAGGTTTAATTGGACTTATGGTTCCACATGGCTGGGGAGGCCTCAGAATCATGACTGCTGATGAAAGGCACTTCTTACATGGTGGCAGCAAGAGAAAAATGAGGAGGAAGCAAAAGTGGAAAACCCTGATGAACCCATGAGATCTCGTGAGACTTATTCACTACATGAGAACAGTATGGGGAAAACTGCCCTCATGATTCAACTTATCTCCCACTGGGTCCCTCTCACAACACATGGGAATTATCTGATTATTCAAAATGAGATTTGGGTGGGGACATAGAGCCAAACCATATTATCACTGTTCTCTGATGGAACAATAAAATGACAATTTTTATTTTTTCTTAAAATTTTAGTACCAATATACTATAGAAAGATATAATCAAAAAGGAAAACATAGTTTGTTCTTTGTATACACAGATATGCCAAATTTGGAAGTCATTAAGATTCAGGTCATTATTTAAGCTCTTTGAAAATCTATAGGGAACTAGGAAACAATTTATTTTTAACTCTGGTATGATCTGTAACTTAACTTTGATGAAAGAAAAGACAACCCAGCTGTGTTTATAAAACACATTTTAAACTTTCTTTTCTGCTCTTGTGAAAGTATAATTCATTTAATAGCCATAGCCTGTTTTCAGTGTTGATGCTTTTTGCCAAAAAAAACCTTGAATGTAGATTTAATATATCTTATATGAACACAAATAATAACCAAAATGCTTTAAAATTATGTATCTTATTACAAAAAATTGATGCATAAGAAATTGTCCCTGCTTCTCAGAAAAAATAGCTTACATAAATATTAGTCAACACTTATGTCTGTATAACAAATAGTTGGGATGTAAAAGTTTTACATATTTAATCAATATTAACCTACGTTCATTTGACTACATGGCCAATATATATATTTTTAATGTAATCTCCCCACGACATTTCCAAAATTTTAAAACACTAACAAGTTTATGAACCACATTTTTGTGTTTTTTACCAAATTAATTTTATTTTCTTCTTTTTATAAAGGGTTAGTGATTGTTACATGTGAAATCACCATAGTATTTTTTTGCATTTTTGTTTCATTTTACTTTTCTCTTTATTCAACTACTTAGTTTGACAAATTCTGAACATATGAACAAGTAACAGAATAGTACAGTAAACATCTACCTACGTAGATTCATCAGTAACAGTTTTTCACATTTAATTTCTGTCTGTATCTCTCTGTCTCCATCTCCATGTACCTCATTACCTACTTACCTATCTCTATACATTTTGAAAGTAAATTGCATTTATAATATGGTGACATTTGCAGACCCTATGAAATACTTTTACAATAAAAATAATTTCATAATGAAAGCATTTCACCAGGAAATATTTAATAAAATAACTTTTAAGACCTAGTACATGTGGCCAATTGATTTTTTAGAGAAGTGCAAAGTGTGGAACGATTGCATAGAAAAATTATAACAATTGGGTAGCCATATAACAAGTGCTGAGGAAGATGTGGAGAAGTTGGAACTGTAGTGCACTGTTAAATGGGATTGTACAATGTTACAACCACTATGAAAAACAGTATGGAAGTTCTTCAAAAAATTAAAAATAGAATTGCTATATGACCAGCTATTCCACTTCTGGCTCTATATCCAAAAGAATTAAAACAGGTCTTCAAGGGATGTTTGCACATCCATGTTTATTACACCATTATTCACAATAGTCAAGAGGTAGAAGCAACTCCTATGTCCATCTAAAAATGAATTAGTAAAAGATGTAAAATATGCAAACAACAAAATATTATACAGTATTAAAAACAAAGGAAATCTTTTCACAAACTACAACATGGATATGACCCAAGAAGACATTTTGTTACATGAAACAAGACAGTTGCAAAAAGACAAATACTGCAGAATTATCCTAATATGAGATATGTAAACTAGCCAAATTAGTAGAAATAGAAAGTAGATTTGTAGTTACCAGAGCCTTGGGTAAGGGAGAAAAGACGTTAATGTCTACAGAGTTTCAGACATAAGAGATGAAAAAATTCTGGAGATCTGTTTCATAATGTGACTACATCTAATACTGCTGAATTGTACACTTAAAATTGGTTTAGATGGTAAATATTAAGTTACTTGTTTCTGTTTATTAAAATATAAAAGAAAAATAGACTACAATCACCACCCAAGGAACTTTTTCATATCCCTTCTGGACAAAAATCTATCCTAAAATATAAATAAGTCCTAACCTCACTTATAATACTATATGTCACTTTTGACTTGTTTCTTTGTTTTTTCTCTTTAAAGATGGGGTCTTGCTATATTGCCCAGGCTGGACTCAAACTCCTGGGCTCAAGCAATCCTCTAACCTCAGCTTCCCAAGATGCTGGGACTACAGGAATGTACCATCAAGCCTAGTTTATTCTCTCTTTTTAATAATAGAATCCTATTTTATGTATTCTAAATATAAATATAATCACACAGTATACATTTTTTAAATTCGAATGTTTTAGCTCATTATTTTTGTGAGATTTTTTTGAAAGAACATATTAATGCTTTCATTTTCTGTGCTATATAGCATCACCATTCAATAAACTGTTTTGCAATAATACACATTTTTTTATGTGGCACTGTCAAATATATTAGCCACTAGCCTCTCATATCTATTGAGCCCTGGAAATGTGGCTAGCCTACTGGCTGACTTAGGTTTTAATTCTATTTAATTTTAACTATTTTAAATTTAAATATCTACATGTAAGTAATGACTACAATATTTGAAAACAGACTTGTCAAATTTCATTTGTATGAATGTGTGAGAAGATTTAACTATTTTACTAAGAATAAGCTTTTAGATTGTTTCTTACTAGGAGCCACTATAAATATTTGATATGAATATTATCATACATATTTTAAGTAAATGTATGTGTATACCCCTTACAGAATATGTCTTAACTCAGCTTCAGTAGATTATGCTAAATGCTTTCCATAGTGTTTGCTCAAATTTACATATCCACTAGCAATATGAAAGACCCAATTTCTCCACATCAATGTTTTTCTTTGACAAGTATTGCCTATTTGTTTCATTTTAGTCATTCTTCTGGGTAATGTATATTGTATTATATAGTTAAATTGTTTTCTGCGTGCCTTTCAGTCACACAGATATTTAAGCACCATTGTTTGCTTTCTTCTTAAATAATTATTAATATTTTATCTTCTTTTAATAATTTTTTGAGAAATTCTGCCTGTTTATTGTGTAAATAGATTCACCTCTCTTGTCTTTCTCAGGGATATTTTAAATTTCATTTTTTCATATTTTTATTATGCATTGACTGAATAATGTGCTATTTTCATTTGATTGTTTCTGAGTCTTTACACTTTAATGCCATATCTGAAAATAAAATAGTTACAAAATGCCTTTAAATAATTTGTATATTTTGCACTGCTTTGAATAGGACTATGGTTCTCTCTGTTATTCTAATAGCCTCAAGAAAATTTCAAATAACTGGAGATATAGCATGTAAAATTTGACAACCTTATCAAGAGCAACAACACTGACCAGGTGATGTTTTTTCATTACTCTGTATGCCCTTTGGTGACAGTTCTCTGAATCCTAAATCTTTTCCATTAAGATTCTCTGAGTCATCTCCAAATATTTTGATATGCATATTTATGTTGTCTTGTCATACTATTGTCAACTATTGAAAATATTCAAAATAAATTATATCTGGAAATAAGCCTCTAGTAGCTTAAAGTCTGCTTGGGTAGCAAACATATGTCCATAGCAGTAATAATATAAGGCAATCAACATCGGGAAATTTATAGGAATAAAAACATTCCACATAGTATATTGCTAAACTACTTCGTACCTCTGTTTCTAAATTGCAGTTTGGACATAATAAGAATACTCATCACATAGAGCTGGGAGTTATTGTAAGGATTAAATAAGGAGTGGCTACAAAGTGCTTAAAACAGTGCCTGGTATGGACATAGTGAGTACTTAGTAAGTGCTAGTCTTTACCATTGTTTTTACTGATTCTTATAACAATGCCATTAACAGCATTAATAGTATTTGGTTTATATTTGAGAAGATTGGAAAAGGCTTTGCAAGAATTGGTAGTTGTATTAGTTTGCTTCAGCTGCCATAAAAAAAATATACCAGACTGTATGGCATAAACAGCATAAATTTATTGTATTACTGTTTTGAAGCCTGGAAATTAGAAATCAGGATGCCAGCATGATCTCGTTTTGTATGTTTCCTCTTCCTGGACTGGAGACTGTCACCTCCTTGCTATGTACTCATATGGCATAGAGAGATGAAGTGAGCAATGTGTTTGCTTTCTCTTCTTCTAAGAGAAGTAATCCCATGTGAAAATATTTCCAATCCCATGTTTTCATTTACACCAGATTACCTCCCAAAGTGGCCCATCACTAAATACATCACACTGGGAGCCTTCGGTTTAACATGTGAATTTTGAAGGAATGCAGTCCAGTACATAGTAGTAGTTAAGCTTCATTTTCAAGGATTAATACAATTTAGAACTTTGACTGATAGAAGAGACCTTCTTGTAAAAGATTCAGGTGTATAGATAGAAACAAATCTGATAAATCAATTTATATTCCAGAAATAATATGCCACATAAAGGCCTCGTTTTCTTATTATTGATACCAGTATTAATATCAACAACACCTAGTATTAACAATAGTAACAATCATAACGATCTACATTTATCAGGTGCCTACTAATTACTTGTGAACAAGAGAGCTTTAACAATTCTCTTGGCTAAGAAAAATGTTAAAGATTTAGACAGGCTTCTGCCCTGACCTCTCTTTCACTTCTGTTTTTATAGCTGGTCTAACCAATGAGGTCCCTTTGCTTAGAGCATTTACTATAGAAAACTTGTAAATTGTTTCTCTGCTCCTTTGAGATATAAATCTTTTTAAATGCCTCTTGCTAATGTTACAACTCAGACCTGTCTTTCTCAAGGACCTGTGAATGATCCTTTTGAAATGTAACCATTAAGAAAGCTAGCACTCCTGTTTCCCAGTCTCTGTGAGAGGGTAAGGGCCAAACTTCAGTGGATTCCTGCCTTCAAGGTGTACAAACTACATCCAGTTACAACGTTAAAAGGAAGTTTACTTTTCCTTTGGGTAAAGCTAATTAGGAAATACAGATGGCCTATGATCCTTCTGATTCAGGCTCTTAAATATACTCCACTATTTGTTTCAGTGGAGTTAAGTTCAGACTCCATTCTGCCCTTTCTCCCCTACTGCAATAGATTTTAGCAAATCTTACTTGCCTGTTTATTTTGACCAGTGGAATTTCTGCTTTGTCATCTGTTGCTGTGCTATTTACATATAATAATAGGCATTTATATAGTCGTCTTAGTAGTCCTAAGAGTAAATAACTTTTTAATCTCCATTTTCAAAGTGGAAGACATAGAGTTAGACTAATAGAAATTAAGGA
This sequence comes from Homo sapiens, assembly GCF_000001405.40. Lineage (NCBI taxonomy): Eukaryota > Metazoa > Chordata > Mammalia > Primates > Hominidae > Homo > Homo sapiens. The sequence continues at coordinate 56,028,353 of NC_000010.11, read as the reverse complement.
AAGGTCTCAAGGTCACTCGCATCACGAAAGGTGAAGCCAGGTTTTGTATCTCAGCAAATTGACTCTACTGACTTAACCAACATTCTACGCTGCTTCCTTTACAATCCATTAGCTTGAGTTTCAAGAGGAGAAATAGCAAGGATAACAGTTCGTAGCTCTCTTTTTCTATCATTAAGGTGCTAGCAGACCCCACCTTTCCTCCTACACTTCTACTCGTGTGATAATTTCTTAATTATCCCTCTTTAGTTGTTTATATGCCACCCTCATAGGACAAAAACATATTTCTAAAAGTATAATTCTTATCTACTTCCTTGCTCAATGCATGTAGAAATTCTCCACAGAACTGGAAGTTGCCTACACAATAATGACCAGTTTATCGAAGTTAAGATAATGACAGCTATAATCTCTTTAATATTAGGACTGAGTTGTACCATAGTTGTGTGAGTGTGTTATGTGTATGTGTGTGTATATGTTTACAATATAATATTTTTCATTTTAAGAAAGTAAATTGAAATGGTTACAAAAGATTAGATAAATTACCTTTTTTATATGAATTTACTTAGTGGGCCTCCCTCATGCACAGGCACTTATATCATGTAACTGGCATCCATAAAAGAAATATGTCTTTTAATATCGTATTTCAGGTATATAACAGGGGGAAGAATGCCACATTTATAGGATATAATGTTTAGATAATGAAGTATAAATGGATATCAAATGATAAATTACATGTCCAGGTCTCAAATTAAAATTGAATTACAGTCTATTTACTGATTAACTCAGACATGTTAGAGAATGATTGGTCCAGTATTACAAGCAGCATACGTATTTTGGCTAAGTTAACATAGTAAAAAATAAATTATGTTAAGCTGATAGCCTAGCATATTACATAAAATAAGCATAATAAATAACAGATGAAATTTATTTAAATGTGAGTGATAAACTATATATGTTAGATTATGGGTTAAAATAGGAGCTCTATTTTTTCTTATAACACATTATGCTGAATTAAATGTTTAAAACTTTAATAAGTATTTGAGTTTTCATAAAGGCTTAAAGATCTTCAAGATATTATTATATGGATCATATTTAAATTACAGAATAATGCAATGTTTATCTCTTAAAAGACAAAAATGAATATATAATATTTTACAAGTTTTTATATTGCAATGTGATTCACAATTTGTAAACAATATACCAGCATATTGCTTCAGGGCATGACTATCAAGAGTCAAATTCTGATTACTAGGTCTTATGCTTGCCCAGATTTGAGTGGGTAATTTTTATCTCAATGACATCATTTGTATTCAGTTCATCCATTGGCATTTACCTGGGATGTTGACTTACCCTCCAAAGGAAATTATCAATTCAGGAGAAAAATGAAGGCTCAGGCATTGTAAAGCTCCCACTGCAACACATAAAGCTCCACTACCAGCAAGATAGCTTCAGCCAAAGCACTTAATTCCTTCTTGATCATTTGACAAAGAACAAATTTAAGGCTAGGGACTTAACTTAGAATTGGTTTTGCATCACTGGGACAAATTAAGAAGTTGTTCACAATGTTTAAACTGGATGGAAAATGCTGAATAAAAGGACCCATGTGCTCTACATTCATTAAAGGTAAAATACTTAATGGCAAAGAAATTTTTGCATTGTGATGCATGGTAGTGAAAAACAAAAAAAATGTAATTTATTAATTATTAATTTATGAGAAGTTGCATCACTTTTTCTATGCTTAGAGATGGCCTACCTTGAAATTGAACCTCTTTTATCATGAAAATATAATGCCAATTCTTCCACACACATCTGTGTGAATTCAATTGTGTGGGGAAAATTACAAATGTAAAATGTATGTTTTGTATCATCTCTTTAATAAAACACATTATATAAATATATATAAGTAGAATTGTGACTTTGCAAACTTAGAATTTTATCACCCATTCTGTGCTTCCTTTCCATGGATTTTGCCTGTAAATTCTCCTTCATTCTTAGACGATTGTGTATGTGATGTGAACTTGTGTGTGTGTGATTGTGTTAATATTCTCATCAAAGTGTGTCTTTACAGAAGTTCTGAAGCTGAGACTGTCCTAGGATAAGAGGGAGATATGGGCCTCGCATTTTTCTCCTTGTCACATTGGAGTAAATATCATGAGGCACCAGATTGGCATATCCAGTGTTGTCTGGACTAACTAAATTGACCATGTCTTGTACGTCAATCTGTTTAAGACTATTAAGAAAAAATTATTTCTTCTAATCCAGGGAGATAAAGAAATACTGTTGGGAGTTGCCTCAGAGGGGAATATGTATTTGTATTGGCAAGTACTCTGGGACACATAAGCATACAGATTTCTTTCCAGAACATTTTGATTGGGCCTAGATTCTGAGGTATTATACTGCCAAGAGAATCCAATCTGTGAGGGTTGCTATAAGCACTCAGAATGGTGAAGTACCCTAATGACAGAAGTGCTCTGAAGTCCTATTAGGTTTCAAGGCCTCTCAGTGTAGGTAGCAGTTTTGAATTCCTTTGAGCATTTTCTTTCTCTTAGTACTACACTCTCAATTAATCTTGTTAACAATCACTATCATTTTTAGTCGTGCTCTCTGTAATTCTGAGGGGAGAGTGCCCTACCTGAGGCTGGAGTAGGGTCTTTACTGAAAAACAACTCTGTCGCAAAATAGCCATCTGAGAAGTTGTAGGACAGAAGTTATTGACAGAAGAGCAAAGACTTGGGCAACAAGACAGGCTAAAGTAGACTTGCTCCAGAATGTACCTGAAATACTACATTGGAGAATACTCAATATTAGATGGGGGTGTGGTAAAGCAAAGGGAAAATTCTCCACAATTAATGATGTAAAACCATAATAAAGAAAATTTTGCAATATTTGTAATCTCAGGTCAGTAATTTGGTAGACTGGGAATACATAGTTGATGGATATACCTAAAGTATCAAATATGTACCTATGGGCATGTGCAAAGTACCCCCTCTACAATGTCAGTCATTATCAGAGGGCATGCATTTTTAGGGCCACCTCAGACTCCAGGATTCCCTTCCCCCGATGTTGTTTGGCATCATGTTGACATTATTTTGAATGTTAGCCTGCTTTTCATTTTCAATAAGATTAACATTAAAATATTACCAAGAAATTCTCTTTCTTCTTTCCCTCTCTAGTCTTACCTACCACTCCTTCCTCCAGATGGCTTGTAAAGTTCCCAATTCTTTTCCTCTCTTGTGAAACAGAGCTTCTTCCTATTCTGATGTGTGCCACCACATGACACCAAAGATCTTGGGATTCTATTTTCTTCTCCTTATACTGATGGAATTACTTTCAAAATACACATACATATGTGAGTTGGCAATAAACCAATTTTTATAGTGGATATATCTAAATGTTAACATGGTAGATTATTTTTATTTTTTTCCTTGTGCTTATTTTTGATTTCCAAATTTTCCACAATGGAATTATATTATATTCCATTGCAAAAATGAATTAAGAAAATGCATTACTGATAAACTATTTATGGAATAAAATGAGCTCACATAAGTATGAAAAAAATGTGCCCAAGTTAATTGATTGGTAAATTACCATTTCTCCTCATTCATTTACCCTGTGCTGTCTCTTTCTTCTCTGAAGTGATATGAATCCTGGATAAATCTGATATATGTATATTTATGTGAGAGTAGCAATTTACATTTCACATGAAATTATGCTTCCAATTACTAAATCAAGGAATCATCAAAAACATCTTCATCACCATAAAAAGGAAGGTAGTAATAAAAGTAATACACTTTTTGATATTACTTTAGGCAAATTAAAACTTCAATGAGGCACAAAAGGTTATGCTGGGAAGTCACATACAACAAAAGCCTAAAGGATAAACTCTTTATCTTGAAAACATTCCTCTTGACTTATTTTTGTTTTGGTTTGCCACAAACCTGTTATAATCCAATTTATATGGAATAGGTTTTCTAGTGTCTAAAAGCCCTAGACAATCAAAAGTCCCAGGTCCTCTTTAAATTTGAACTGCTGCTTGCCTTTGGAATTACTGAAGACATCTCCATGTTTATTCTCAGAAATAATTTTTTAGCTTCAAATTGTCTATAAAAGTTAGGTAAGAGATCATATACAACATATTTTATATTTCCTCATCTGTTTCTTGGAAGTAATAAAGTAATAGAAAGCATTTGATCATGATGTGTTTATTTGTAATTAACTTTGGATCTTATTCCGTAATAACATGTTTAGAAAGTATGATCTTGGAGTATGATTAATGTTTGAAAAATCATGTTTTCAGTGGTTGAAAATATATAACAAGCAAATAACCCATTTTTGGTTATTTTTTACCATCTTTAGATATTAGATTTTGAAAGAGAATTTATACATCTGATGTGTAATACAATGATTACAAATAAAAAGGTACAATGTATTATAACTTCTTAACTCAAAATAATAAAGGGCACATTTTTGGAAGGTAGTAGCCATCTATTTTCAGCAAGGAAGAAAATTATATCAATACGTACACCTATAAATAAGAAAATCTGGGTAATAACCACTGGGAGACAAACTTAAGGGCTTTTTATTTCATTCATGTGCGTGTCTCAACTTCAAATTTAAAAAAAGTTCATAGAAGCTTTATATTTGTATTTCATGATAATTTTCCTTTAATAAATAATTAAGGGCAAGATAAATACTGAATCAAACATAACATTTATTTTTCCTAATAATGATCATTTTTAGTCTCAAGATATGTCTCTACTTCATGTCATTTTGCTAGTAAGTACTTTACTTAGTAGAGCATCAGTGACTTTACTATTTCCCTGCTCAAAAGCATTTCATAAGCGTTCCTTAATGCTACCTAAGAAAGCAATCTGTATTTAGTCTATTTTTTCCTACTCTTCAAAACTTATACTCTCATCTGGCCCTAGTGTACTGTTTGTAGTATCCTAAGATACTTTGCTGATATTGCACCTAGCACTTATCTTCGTATGTTTCTAAAATGTCTTCTCTATTCACCTTTGCTTAATACAATCATACATATGTAGAAAAACTTTCATCCCTGCATTTTCAATGTTCTTTTATTCCTCTGAAGTGAAAAAGATACCCCCAAAATAGCTCTAAATTTCTGAAATACCTTTTGTTATCAGCCAGATAACATACAACTTCAATTGTCTTTTTTTGTACTAATTCAAGAACATGGCTTGACGTGATTTTCTAAAATGAAGGCTTCTAGAAGTCTAGCAGCTGACTTAAATTATTGTATATCCCAAATAGACTTAGTCAGTAATTATGTCATTAGTGGAAAGTTAAATATACGTTGATTAGAGGAAGAAATTATTGACAATCATAAAGTTCCCAGATGTGAATCTTCATATGCTTCTACAACTACAGTGTCAATCTGTCAGCTGTGTTGCATTTTTCTCCATGGCCAAACAATTAGTGAGGGTTAGAAGGAGGTAATAAATGAAGTTTGCTGGCAATTAATTTTAAGATGCTGAGAAAAATAATTATCCTTAACATTTTGGCATAACAGAAGAGCCCCACATGTATTCCATAACAAGATACTGGAAAATCCTAAAATAAGTGAAAAATGCTCAGTTTTATTACTAAGTAATGATGTAGCAGTAGAGTAAATTCATTCTTGGCTTTGCTGAAGATCACTTTTGTCAAATCTAAATGTTTTTTCTTTGTCATATGATTTGGTTGAATTATGGTGTCAAATAAACAAGTTATGAAATTAAACATTCATTCTGTAAGAAAGTATAGTGCATTCGAAATATTGCAAGAATATTGATTTGCTGCACCAGTCAACCTATGTAGCAAACCTGCACATTGTGCACATTACCCCAGACCTTAAAGTATAATAATAATAAAAAAAGAAATATTGCAAGAATAAACATCTAAAAACCTGAGCTCTAGTGATCTTTAAACATGTTTCTTATTCTTACCAGGTACCATAGATACCATTTATAATGTGGTAAGCGTGACCTTTAAAAATCTTTCTAGGACATGTAACAATGGAATAAATTAAATTATTATCAATTTGTTGATTGATTCAGTGAAATTAATAATATTCTGATATTCCATTTGATGTAAATTTTATTTACTTTCAAGAAAATAAACACGGATTCTAATGGGATCAAAATCACAAAGGAATTTTTGAGGCGACATTCAAATACAACACAAGAGAAGCAGTTGATTGTATAGATTTTGCGGGGCCGAAATAGAAACGTGAGCCCTTTTGAATACCTCTGCTGACTCTTTCTTAAGTCTGTCTCTGAGGAGAAAAGAGAAGTAGGACTTATTCTGTAACATTGGCGAGCCCACAATTTGAGTAGAAGCATTGTGCTCTCTTCCTATTCCCTCTTCTTTACATATCAGTTACATAGAAACCAGACTAAATGTTTTAGGTGCATTGACTTAAGGTCTAGTTTCTGGCAAATGGTTGCTGATTTCTTGTTCATATCCTTCTTTACACTCTTCTACTCACACATAGGATAGCGTTTAAAATAAATTAATGCACATTTCTTCAATGTATTAAGTTCAACAACTGGTTGTTTGCAACATCTGAATTGGGAGTTTTGTGCAGAGGCAGTGTAGAGTATATATATGGAGGTATAAGAGTACATATTTATTCTTGATTCTCATCAATTCAAAACTTGAGAGATTTGACTCTTTTGACAGAGTGTTTAAATATTATAAAATACCATTGAAACTCATATTTCCTCCTAAAAATGCTAATTAATTCCAATGTGAGAACACCTGAAATGTTCAATAAATAAATCTCTGCTGTTTGCATTATGTGTGTTTGTGTGTGTGTGTGTGTGTGTGTGTGTGTGTGTGAGATATTGATATTGAGGTATGAGACGGATTAATTAGATTATCTACCAATAGCTCTACTGTGTATTCATACAAGACCAAAAAGGCACAGCAGCCAAAAAAAATCTAAAGTCATAATTTTGAATTTTCACCATATATACAAATGTATGTCTTAATCAATAACCATTAAAATAGATAAACTCTTTGGTACTTGGCCTAATCACTGAATAAGATCCTTTGATTAGTCCATAATTATCACAGTTCAGTTACCAAATTTAAAATCAATAATACTAATGAACAACATTATAATAGAGTGTGTATAAATTACTCTTTCTTGGCTGTTTGAGAAAAATCATAAGTTTTTTTTCCAATAAATTTTATTGTGTATATTTAAGGTATACAACATGATGTTATGGGATACATATCGACAGTAAGAAGGTTAATAGAGTGAAGCTAATTAACATATCCATCCCCTCAGAGTTACTCATTTTTGTTTTTGCTTTTGTGGAAAGAGCAGCTAAAACCTATTCCTTTAGCATAAGTCCCATATACAATACAATTTTTTTACCTAAAGTCATAATGTTACACATTAGAGCACCAAACTTGTTCTTCCTATATATCTGCTACTTTGTATCCTTTTAACTTTTTTTTAGATTCCACATATAAACGAGATCATGTAATATATTTTTTTCTGTGTCTGGCTTATTTCACTTAGCATAATATTCATCAGGCGCTCCATGTTGTAGTAAGTGGCAAAATCTTATTCTTTTTTAGGGAATAATATTTTATTACCTATAATTTATCACAGTTTCCTCATTTTTTTTTTCTTTTTTATTGATATCTTAACCATGGTGGATTTTTTTCAATACCATCCTTGGATTCCAAGGATAAATCCTACAAAATTCAATTTGATAATATTTTATTAATTATTTTCAGTAATTTTATAATATGGTATAGTTATTTTTGTCTTTGATATAAAGGTTAGAGTAGCCTTTTGAAAGGATTGAGTAATTTTTTTCTATCCTCTGAATTCACTTGAGTAAAGTAAGGATTAGCTATCTTTTGAAAGTTTGGTAAAAATTATCTATAAGATTCTGGCTCACAGAACCACAGTTTTGGGGAGCATGCATTTAACATCCAATATTACACTTACTATGTAATGTTACAATTTTAATTTTATGATTTAAAATCATCTGGCAGCTATGACTCTCATCTCTGAACAAGTAAAATATTTGTATGAAAAAAATAAAATACTGTGGAGGAGAACGAAATTGTTTGTAGCAGAAAAAACTGACAAACTTGACGATTTCAAAGATAATCTAATGGGAACTTTGGAAGAATGTAAGCCAGTGATTCATGGTGGTTCTTCTAAGGGATGGGATTTGATAAGTAAATGTAGCTCGGTAGCGTTTTCAGTTTTATTGTAAATACCTCAATAAATGGTGGTATTATAGGTAATTTTTAGTTTCTTTTTTATATTTTTCCCTGTGTTTTTCAAAGAAAAAAATCTAAATAAAAATCATATTCATGCTAAAGTGTAAAACAATAACACAAAATTCTGGCTCAGTATTTCTCAAAGAGAAAAATTTGATTTCAGATTTAATTTATTTAATGGTTACTGGTTTACTCTAGGTTTTATATGTTAAATAAATTTTGGTAAATAATATAGAAAATTATCTACTTCATTTCAGTTTTCAAATTTAATGACATTGTATTTTAGTATTATCTTTGGTTTTCTGTTAGGTTGATGCAAAAATAATTGTGGTTTTCATTATTAAAAGTAAAAACCTAATATACTAGGTAGGTTGCACCAACCTAATGCATCTCTATTTTATCTGTAGTTATGTCTCATTTTATTGTTGTGACAGATCATGTTTTCTAAAAATAGGCACAGCAATGTTTCCAGTCTCAAATGCTCTTTTACAACCTTGCCACTCATCATCAAGTGGTAGAGAATATTTTCCTCCTTCTTGAACCTAGGCAGGACTTTGTGACTACATTGATAAATAAAATGCAAATATACCAGTACCATAGTTTATCAGTTTGTTTTTGAATGAACATTTGTGTTGTATCTCTATCTTGGCTATTGTAAATAATGACACAATCAATATGGACGTATAGATGTTTAGTAGGTGGTGATTTCATTTATTTTGGGTGTATTTCCAGAAAAGGGATTACTGTGTCTGTGGTAGTCCTACTTTTAATTACTTTGGAAACCTCCACACTGTTTTCCTTAACAGTTGTACCAATCTACTTCCTGCCAACAGTACACAACGGTTCTCTCGTTCTCTCTTCTCCACACCCTTGCCATCATTTATATTTTGACTTTTTGATAATAGCCATCCTAACAGATGTGAGGTTGTATCTCATAGTGGTTTTGATTTGCATTTCCTAGATGATTAATGATGTTGAGTGGCTTTTCATATACCTGTTACCCATTTTAATGTCTTCTTTGAAGAAATATCTATTCAGGTCTTTTATTCATTTTATAATCATGTTGTTTGTGTTTCTAGTACTGAATTCCATGAGTTCTGTGTACATTCTGGATATAAATTCCTTATCCGATATATGGTTTGCAAATATTTTTCCAGCCCTATGCTGCCATTTCATTTTGCTAATTATTTTCTTTGCTATACAGAAGCTTTTTAGCTTGATGTTGTCCCATTCAGCCATTTTTGCTGTTCTGGCTTGAGGTTTTGTTGTAATATCCAAAAAATCATTACCAAGGCCAATGTCCAGGAGCTTTTTCTCTGTGTTTTCTTTCAGAAGTGTTATAATTTCTGGTCTTATATTTAGGCCTTTTATCTGTTTTAAATTGATTTTTGTGACTAGTGTAATAAAGGGTCCAATTTCACTCTTCTGCCTGTGGAAATCCAGTTTTACAGGTGCCATTTATTGAAGAGACTATTACGTTCCCATTGCATTATCTTAAGGTGTTTGTCAAAAATTAGTTGACTGTATATGTTTGAATTTCTTTCTGGGCTCTCTATTCTATTCCACTGGTCTATGTTTCTGTTTTTATGTGAGTACCATACTGGTTTGATTACTGTAACTTTAAAATACAATTTTAAATCTGGAAGGGCTATGCCACCAACTTTGTTTTTCTTTCCCACATTTGTTTTGGCTCTTTGAGGTCTTTAAGATTTCACAAAAATTGTAGGATTTTTTTCAATTTCTGTGAAAAATGCCATTGATATTTTGATAGAGATTGAATTAAATCTGTACATTGCTTTGGGTAGTGTGGACATTTTAACAATATTAATTCTTCCAATCTAAGAATATGAGATATTATTCCATTTATTTTTGTTTTCTTCAATTTTTTGCATCAATTTTCTGAAATTTTTAGTACATAGATCTTTCAACTCATTGGATAAATTTATTTCTTGATATTTTATTTTATTTTTTGGATGTTACTGTAAATGGTATTTTAAAAATTTATATTTCAATTAGATCATCTTTGAGTATGAAAATACTACTGATTTTTTATGATGATTTTGTATCCTGCAACTTTACTGAATTCTTTTATTACTTCTAACAGTTTTTATATGGAGTCTTTGCGGGTTTTTTTTACATACAGGATCATGTCCTTTGCAAAAAGATAATTTTACTTTATCTTTTCTAATTTGGATCACTTTTATTTATTTTACTTGCCTGATTGCATGTGCTATTACTTCAGTACTATATTGACCAGAAGTGTCAAGAGTGGGCATCCTTGCTTTGTACTAGATTTTTATGGAAAAGTTTTCAGTATGTTTCCACTGATTATAATGTTACCTCTGGTTTCTTTAAATGGCCTTTGTTTGTGTTGAGCAACTTTTCTCTTATATAATAACTGTTGAGAGTTTTTGTCAAGAAAGGATCTTGGAATTTAATACTATTTCTGTGTCAATTAAGATGATTATATGTATTTATCATTAATTCTGCTAATGTGTTTTTTCATAATAAATGATTTGCATATGTCAAACCAGTCTTGCATGCCAATGATAAATCCCACTTGATCATGATGTGTAATGCTTTTGATGTGTTATTGGATTCAGCTTGCTAATGTTTACTTGAGGATTTTTACAACTATGTTCATCGGAGAAATTTACTGGTAGTTATGTTTTCTGTGATGTCTTCGGCTGGCTGAGGTATCAAGGTGATGCTGACCTCAAAATGTATTTGAAAGTGTGTTTTTCTAGCTCAATTTTTTGGAAAAGTTTTAAAAACTATTGTTAGTAATTATTTTTTGAATGTTTTGTAGCATTCTACTGTAAACACATCTGGTCTTGGAGTTTTTCTTATTGATGGGAGGAGAGGTTCTGATTACTTTTTCATCTCTTTATATCTTTTCTGGCTTTCTATTTTGTCCTGACTAAATTTTGGTAAGTTGTATTTTTCTAGATATTCATCTACTTTCTCTAGTTTATTCAATTAGTTGGCATATAATTGTTCATAATAGTCCTTTATAAACTTTTTAAATTTCTTAGGTATCTATAGCAATTTCTGCATTTTCATTTTTTATGTTATTTAATGGAGACTTTGCTCCTTTTTTCTTAGTCAGACGACCTAAAGTTCGATCCATTTTGTTTATTTTTCGAAAAGCCAACTCTTAATCTTATTGATTATTTCTATGGTTTTCTTTTCTTTTTATTAATTTTTATTTTAAGTTCCTGGGTACATGTGCAGCATGTGCAGGTTTGTTACATAAGTTGACATGTGCCATGGTGGTTTGCTGCACCTGTCAATCCATCATCTAGGATTAAGCCCTGCATGCATCAGCTATTTTTCCTAATGCTTTCCCTGCCCCCACCCCACCTCCTGACAGGCCCCAGTGTGTGTTGTTTCCCTCCCTGTGTCCATGTGTTCTCATTGTTCAGCTATCACTTATAAATGAGAACATGTGGCATTTGGTTTTCTGTTCCTACATTAGTTTGCTGAGGATAATGGCTTGCAGCTCCATCCATATTCCTGCAAAGGACATGATCTCATCCCTTTTTATAGCTGCATAGTATTCCATGGTGTGTATGGACCACATTGTCTTTATCCAGTCTATTTTTGAAGGGCATTTGGGTTGATTTCATGTCTTTGCTATTGTGAATAGTGCTGCAATCAACATACGCATGCATGTATCTTTGTAATAGAATGATCTATATCCCTTTGGGTATATACTTAGTGATGAGATTGTTGGGTCAAATGGTATTTCTGATTCTAAATCCCTGAGGAATTGCCACACCATCTTCCACAATGGTTGAACTAATTTACATTTCCATCAACAGTGTAAAAGCATGTCTATTTCTCCACAACCTTGCCATCATCTGTTGTTTCTTGACTTTTTAATCATTCCCATTCTGACTGGCATGCGATGGTATCCCACTGTGGTTTTGATTTGCATTTCTCTAATGATCAGTGATGCTGACCTTTTTTTTTTACATGTTATTCTGTTTTCTATTTATTTCTGTTCTGACTTCTATTATTTACTTCTGTCTGTTAATTTTGAGTTCATTTTTTAGTTTTGTTCTTTTTCTAGTTCCTTGATATATAATGTTAGATTATATATTTAGAATGTTTGTTTTTAATATAGACATTTGTTGTGATAAACTTCCCTCTTAGAAATGCTTTTACTGCATTTCATAGGTTTTGGTATGTTTTGCTTCTATTGTCATTTGCCTCAATATATTGTTTAATTTTTTTTTGATATATTCTTTGGCCCATTGGTTTGTCAGAAGCATGCTGTTTAATTTCACATATTTGTTAATTTTTCAAGACTCCAGCTGTTGTTAATTTCTAGTTTTATAGCATTGTATCTGAAATGATACTAGATATAATTGTAATCTTAAATTTGTTAATACTTCTTCTGTTACCTAACATGGTCCAAACTGAAGGATGTTATATTTACACTGGAAAAAAAATGTATATTCTGCTACTGTTAGATGGAAAGTTCTGTATATATTTATTAGGTTCATTTGATTAAAAATGCAATTGAAGTTCAATATTTCCTTATTACTTTTCTGTCTGTTGATGTATTCCTTGTTGAAAGTGGGGTCCTTAAGTCTTCTCATATTATTGTCTTGCTATCTCTTTCTTTGTTTATGTCCATTAATATTTGCATTATGTATTTAGGTGCTTCAATTTGAGGGACACAATTGGTTATGTCCTCTTTATCAATTCACCCCTATATAATTAAACAATGACCTTCTTTGTCTTTTGCAACCGTTTTTGAATTGAAGTCTATTTAATCACTTGTAAGTATAGCCACCTCTGCTCTCTTTTGGTTAGCATTTGTATGGATTATCTTCCCATTTTAACTTTCAACCTGTATGTGTCTTTTAAGTTTAAGTGAGTCTCTGGTAAGCAGAATATAGTTCAATCATATATATATATATATATATATATATACACACACACACACACACACATATATATATGAGGAATCACCACACCATCTTTCACAATGGTTAAACTAATTTACATGTTTTGATTGGAGAATTCATTCCATTTATATTTAAGATATTATTGTATTATTGATAGTTAAAAACATGCTGCTAGGTATTTTATAGTATGTTTCCTAGTTATTTTGTTGCTTTTTTGCTTCTTTATATCTTTATTATTTGCTAGTCCACCTTTGTGATTAGATAATATTTTGTAGTTCTAAGCTTTTATTTCTTTCTCTTTATTGTTTGTATATTTGCTGCAGTTTTCTTGTTTCATGGTTACCATCAGTTTACATAAAACATCTTATAGTTGTAATCTGCTTTTTTCCATGGTTAACAAATTCTGTCATATACAAAGACTTTAGAAGTTTACCCTCCTCCTCACAATTTATGTTTTTAATAACACTATTTACATATTTTATATTGTGTTTTTCTTAAAACTTATTATAGCTTTAGTTATTTTTGATCATTCTGACTTTTTCACTTTATACTAGAGACATATAAGATTCACATACCATTATTATAGTATTGAAATACTCTGTTCTTGACTCTGTATTTACTTCTGCCAGTTACTCTTATACTTTCACATGTCTTCATGGTAATAACATTCTTTGGTTTTGTTTGCAGGACTCTCTTAAGCTTTTCTTGTAAGTCAGATCTAATGATAATGTATTTTCTTGGCTTTTGTTTCTGTGTGAAAGACTTTACTTCTTATTTCTGAAAGAAAGCTTTACTAGATATAGTATTCTTGGCTGAAGGTCATTGTTTTTTCTTGCAGTACTTTCAATATATCCTATTTCTCCTAGCCCATAAGGTTTCTGCTGAGAAATGCATTGATAGTCTAATGGATATTATATGTGGCTTAACTGTTTTCTCTTGCTGTTTTTTAAATTCTCTGCATGGGACTGATTTTTGAGAGTTTAATTATATTCCTTGGAAAGGACCTGTTCGGTTTGAGTCTATTTAGAAACTTTTAAGCTTCATGGATTTTGATGTTCATATCTTTCCCAAGACTAAAGAAGTTTTCATTATAAGTAAACTTTCTGTCCCTTTCTCTGTCTCCTTACTTCTCATAAAAAGAACATTGGTTTGCTTAATGGTGTTTCATAAGACCTATAGTCAGTCTCCATTCTTTTTCATTAATTTTTTTCTGTTTTTTCTTCTAAGTTGTTTCCAAAGACCTATCTTCAAGTTTATAGACTCTTTCTTCTGTTTAATCTAGATTGCTGTTGAAGCTCTCCTATATATATTTCCTTGAATGAATACTTTAACTCCAAGTTCTGTGGTTCTTTTTTTTTATGGTATCTATCTCTTTGTTAAATTTATCATTCACATCATGAATTGTTTTCCTTATTTCACTGAGATGTCTTTTTATATTCTCTTGTAGCTTGCTGAGTTTCATTTAGATCATCATTTTAAATTTCTTTTCAGGCAATTTGTAAATTTCTTTTTCGTTGTGGTCAGTTACTGTAGACTTTTGAGGTCCCTTGGTCGTGTCATATTTCCTTGCTTTTTCAAGTTCCATGTATTCCTGTGTTAATGGCTGTGGATCTGTTGGAGCAGTCACCTCTTCCAAACTTTAGTGTGGTTTTTGTACAGGAAGACTTTCATTTGAAGTTAGGCCTGAGCATGCAGGTTGGACAGGGTGCAGTAGCTTTTGCTATGTGTGAGTTCAGTGATGTAGTCTTTGGGCAACTTATTTAGTTGCTATCAACATTAATGACAATTGTGGGTGGTCTAGGTTGCAGAACTTTGTGCAGTGACAGTGACTGCATTTGTTATTAGGGCCAGGGCTTTGTGAGTTCTCTTGATCTTGTCTTCCTCACAGTGGAGAGTCTTAACTGAGGAGATATCTTTTGGTATTGGGGCTAACATGGCTCATAGGCTGTAGAAGCTGCATTGGGATCCAGGACATTGGTGCTTGTAGTGCCAAGTTTTAATGGAACTACTGCAGCACTTGGGACTTGAGGTTTAGGTTCACTCTCCCAAGCACAAGTGAATAAATTTTTTTTTTCACTATTCTAGGGTCAGTTTTTCTGAGGCATACTTTGGCAGCTTGGGCTCAGAAGTGTCTGAAGACTTAGTCTCCAGGGAGCTGGAGATGCAATTTAGGACCTGAAACCAACAGGGCACAATAGAACAGCTCAGGCTACAAGGGATGACAGACCATGTGGTGGTGACTCTGGACCTTGGCCTGGTGTGACCTAGTAGTAGCTCAGACTCTGTGAGGCCAGGTGTAGCAACACCAAGGACCCAGGAAAGGCCAGATGCTGCTTTGCCTTGGGTCATGGGTTTTGAGGAAGAGTGCAGCAATAACTATTACCCAGAAAGGCAGAGTTCCTCAGCAGTTCAGACTGGGAGTTAGTCCAGTTCTAGGCCAGTTCTAGGTAGGTGAGGCATTGTTGCTGTTCAGCCTGGAGGTGAGGGTAGCATAGCTCCACCAAAGCTCTGATTCCCTGGGATACCAGGCATTGCATCTACTTGGCCCCAGAAAGTACAACTCCACAGGTCAGTGGAGTCTCTGGATCCCTGGGAGGTGGGGCACTACATCAGCTGCAGTGCTGGGAGATGAATCTCCTCCAGTGTGCAGGAGACTTGAGGTTGCAATGAGACAGGGTACCATATCTGCTCTGGGCCCAAGGATGGACTGCTCTGGTAGTTTGTGATGAGGCTCTGGCTTCCCAGGCATGCACAAAACTTCAGCTCACTCCTGAGGAGAGGTTGCAGCAGTGACTGGGATGGAGTAGATGAAACATCTATGCAGCAGCTTGGCCTTAGGGCATAACAACAGCTATGCTTGGAGATGGTATGCTAATTCACAGGCATGATGAAGCAACAATGAGACTCAGAGATTGAGGAATCTGATAACTACTCACCTCCAGAGCAGGACACACTCTAGCAGTGGCTTAAGTTCCAAGATGGCACAGACAAGTGACAGCACAGGCCATGGGAGGAGATATGAAGGTGGGTGGGGCACAGCATTGACCTCTTCTCTGGGGATGGCTCAGTGTTTTGGCTTTGGAGAGCTCCCTCAGCTGGGCTAAGAACCTTTGAGGACAGTAGGGGACTCCAGTAGCAGCGACTGAAGGGGTCCACAGCGATAATGGAGGCTTCTGGGTTCTTCTTGTCTCCCTTTTCCCTTTAGGGAGAAGTCCCTCCTGGTTTCAAGCTGATCCCAACTACGGGGAATAGGATGGCAGAGGCTAGGTGTTTGTTTTTTAAATTTTTCCTTCTATATGAGGCTGTGCTGGGTTTCTGTGCTCTACAGAATTTCTGCTTCTTCTTTGCTGTTCCCTGGTACTTTTTATTAGTTAATTTAGTTTAAATACGGTTGTTTATTTGTTTTGTTTTTTTGTGTGTGGCAGGGAAGAGTGCTGGGAGCTACCACTCGACCATCTTGCTGATTCCACTTTTGACAATGAGGTCTTTTAGAAGCTCAGAAACATAGCAAGTAAAAAGAAAATTAACCTAGTACTTGAGAATTTTGAAAATTCCTATGAATAGTGTGTTACTACTGATGGAATGTCATTATTAAGAAAATATTTTCTAATATTTTAACTCTATTGACAATATAACATATTAAGAAGTATAAGCCTCTGCAAGTGTATTAAAATTGGAGTAGAATAAAATGTATATTTTAATACTCATTTAGTTTCCAAAAGGATAATAATGTATATCACTCATTTGTATATAGAAAAATATTTTAAGTGAAGCAATTTTGGAAAAAAACTATTTCACAGCAAATAGTGCTCTAAAATTATTTAGTATTGAGTATCTAAAGAAAGAATTACAATTTACAATGAATCCCTATTTTGAAATAATGAAATAAGAAAATGTATACACACTGTTTACCAGTCAAGTTCATCAAAGCAAAAATATCAATAATAATATTTTATATAAACTTTCTTTAATGGTAAAAATCTACATGTGTATGTAACTTTATTGTTTAGTAAATTGGTTTTGCTTTTCTTATTGAATTTAAACCTCAACCACAGTAGAGCTTTTGGGAATACAAAGATATAGGTTCCTTGGTCACAATAGCCAAATTGCGAGCATTAAATAGCCACATGTATCTTGTGCCTCTCATATTGGATAGTACAGATACAGAACTTTTCCATAATCACTAGAATATACTGTATAGCCCTGCTTCTGATCACGTCTAATTTATCTTTTTTCGTGAAGCATACCAGACATTTTAAACAAACTATTCTAGTTTCCCCTGGGCCCTTCCAGTTGGACTTACCAACTCCAGTCCTTTCCACTGGTCTTCAAATAAGATGAATTTGAATACTGACTACATAGTCATCATTCTGACCACATTGTTATTTACGTGTTATAATTTGTGAATACCTCTTTTAATTCTTGGGTTCCAAAATTGAATATATTCCTTCAGTTGGGGTCCAAGCATCAGAAAGTTGAGCAGAAATAAAATACAGCAAGATTATCAGTGAATACCCTGGCTATAGAAATTGTTTTCCTCATCTAGACCAACTTTCATTGAGCTTTGATGGCAGTAAATTTACCCAAATTCTTAAATGCAAACATTTCTTTAACTGTGTTTCTCCAACTTCTATTATACAACTTCATGTTTAACCTAAATTCAAGACTTTATATTACCGTTAATGTTCTCTGGATGTGATTTTGTTTGTATGTTAAGTTTAACTACATATTTCCTAATCATTCAACGTATTTAAAATCACCCTATTTCTGGGTTATTTCTAAAGTTGATCAACATAACATAAAAGTTGTCATAAAGTTAGTTTTAAACAATTATGATAGGCGAGAATTTAAAAAAAGGGTGTTCACTAGCCGAAGATTCACTACAAATTTTAATACACTGGGCAAGACTCTTTGGACATTTAATCAATTATAAATCAATGTAAACTACAGTATCCTTTGGCACATATTAATCTCTTTTTGAATTCCCTGAATTCTTAACATCAGAAAACATATTGGTTTTGTTTTTTATGTGTTCAATATGTTTTGTACATTTAATTGAATAGTTGACTAATGCAATTGATTCAACTATATGTTACTGGCTTAATACAGTGGGATTTACAATACCCTTTAAAGAAAATAAAGGGGATTTGAGAGCAATGCTGAAGAGGCTTAGAAACTTAGTTGGAAAATAGGTATGATTTGAATTCTCACAGTTGGATTATTTCCTACTGATCTCTGAAATTTGGTTTTATGTATTGGACTCATTTTATTAAGAGTTCTTTAAAAACACTTGTACATTTATTTGCCAACATATTTGAAATCAAAATGATTATAATTGTAAATATCAATACTTTCTAAGATTTCTTTCTTTAGTGTCTTCATTTGTGTGTATGTTAGTATATTTGTGTATGTAAATATGTGTTTGTGTGTGTGAAATAATGTGTTTGTGTCATAATACTCCTTCATATATGATATTAAATATTATGATCAGATTACCTATCAGTATGTAAATTCAGTATTCAGATTTCCTCAGTTTTACTTATATTGGGGTGTGTGTGTGTGTGTGTGTGTGTGTGAATTAAGCTTCATAAAATTTTATTATTAGTTTAGGTTCTTGTACATGCCTTCACAGCCAAGATAATGAATAGTTCCAACATTTTAAAAAATCCCTTTTGCCATCATATATGTTCATCAGTTTCTAACAGCCTTCACAGTATCTAATTAATATAAAACTGATCAATACATTATTAGTTAATTCACATTTACATACAAAAAATTAGGAATAATGTTTACAGCTTGTTTGGCAACAATGATTCACTTGAATTACAATGCATACATGTCTGAAATATTAGAAAAAGGCATAATATAGCTTTATTGTAAACCTACCACCCATTATTATATAGGCTTAACTAATATTTAAAATATCTGTAATGCATTACAAAAATTTATGACAAAAATTAAGAAATCCAATACCTAATGACCATAAATAACCCTAGAACTTTGATAAGCACTGGTAACATTGCAATTTTTCTAAACAATAACTAAATTTTAACTACATGTTTGTGTATCTAAAAAGTGCAACTTTTCTAAGTATTAAGTGACAGATATTTTAAAAGATATTATTGAAAAGTTATCAGAAACTCCAGTAATACAATAATTTTTATTCATAAAATTATGAGAATTTAGCAAATATTAAAACCTGTTCTCATAGAATGGTAAATTCTTGTAGATTAGGATTATAGGATGGAATGTTTTTGAGATTTTATGTTATCTTCTAAATCTCAAGAAATGTGCAGAGTTCAGTGTTTCTTTTTTGCTGTCTAAAATAGGATTTCATGTAATAATGAATAAGGAGGTGAGAACAAATCTATCCACTTACTTTTTGTTGTCAAGTGCCTGAAATCATTAAAATGATTTTAATAAACCCTTTGTATCCATGATAGGGATGTGGATGTGTAGAGAAGGAAGAGCTTGTAGTGATTGAGATGCAAACATTGATTTTAAAAAGGATAAGCAGAATCCACAAGACAGAGACACCACTTTACCGCATTCCTTGAGATTAAGGGAACTATATCCTGATTTCTTACATTGCCTCAGAATCAACCTTACATAGTTTATCCAGGGAAGTTGCCCCAGGGCTTTAACCTCCCAAAAGCTGCATCCCTGGCTAAATAATTCTACATCCCAAAATTCCTGTGACATCTTACCAGTGTTGCTTTCATTCCCTTTCCAGTATACCATGAAATAAAATATTTTAGACACAGGTCAAAATTCCATTTAATGTACATTTTATGACCACTATTTATAGGATGAAAATTTAAAGTCTGATGCAAAACATGAGCAGAGGGATTTAGAGGCAAGTCATAAAGTTTTAGACATTAATTCATGAGTTTTAGCTGACCTACTGAACTTTTTATCTCATATAGTACCATCAGCAATATGTTTCCTAAGGGAAGCCTGGTAAAGACTACATAGATGGATGAACATTCACTGTGTATTTGGAAGAAATAGCACAGACACTTAGCCTATAAATTATCACATATGGTTCATGTTATTGTTAAAGATTTAAATATGTACAATATCTAGATATACTAAATGACCTAAAACATCAAAAAATATATATGTATATGTCACCACATCTCTAAGTATATGTGTGGTTATATCTATACGGATAGCTAATATCTTTGTCTTGTTGCTCATATTCTTCTCTGACTCTGTTCTCTTTTACAAACTTTGTTAATTACTCCATTTTCATCAATTTAATGTCATTATATCTGCTTAGGATTTAGTATAAACTAACCATTATTATTGCTTCTAGTCTTTTCTGTAACCTGTCTCTTGCCCACATGTATAAATAATTCCTCTTCCTTCTAATTTCCTGGAGAAACTTTTTGTTTTCCTATTGTAATTTTGATTAGGTAAAGTGTATTCTATTCATAAAGTGTCTTAGAAGTCCTAACAGTCTCTGAGTTTATTGGGCAAGAGACTGTCAGATACATTTTCACATATTCTATATCATTTAGCTTGTTTTGAGAAGTACTTATTAAATATTGGGGGGAAAATGAAGAAGATTGCCTCTCTAAGGTACTTAAATTATGAAATAGTCTTAATGGTGAAATTCCAGAATGGGAGAACAATAACATACTTTCAATTTCTGTTTTTATATATGAGAAAGGTGTTTGAAGATGCTGAGATTTATTTAGGTTGTGTTGTTCAAAATATTTTAAAACTTTATTTAATTTTGAAGAGTTCTATTTTTCAATGGTAATATGTAGTTCTTTTAGATTACTTCACATACTCTAGATTTAAGTAATTTAAAATCAGTTATATTTTCTGAATTGATATATTATTCCTAATAAGTTTATGTTATTCCCTCTAATATTTCCAAGTAAAGTATTTACTTTCTGAGGCAAAATTTGGACATAATTTTTGTTAATTCATAAGATGTATTATTGCAGTATTTGTAGCCTCATTTAAAGGAAATTTATAGCTTCATGCCACAATTAAAGAATAATTGAAAGCTTTTAACAGATTTCATCAATGTGAGAATGCAATGGCATAAGAATGACTGAATGGACCTTGGGGACTCCGGGGGAAAGGATGGGAAGTGGGTGAGGGATAAAAAACTACAAATTGAGTGCAGTGTATACTGCTTGGGTGATGGGTGCACCAAAATCTAACGAATCACCACTAAAGAACTTACTCATTTAACCAAACACTACCTATTCCCCAATAACGTATGAAAATAAAAATAATTTAAAATGTTAACACATATGTGAGAGGACTACTTTTACTTACCATTACAAATGAGTTCTTACCAGAACGATTCTTCACAGATTTGAATGAATAAGTCAGTTTGGGATATACGTGATCACTCTAGTTAACTCCTATCTTCATTGGTGGCATCTTCCAAGTTAACATCTGGAAGTGAATATTGTCTGTCTTTTTTCATATTACACATTCTGCCAGTGGATTATTTTATTTGTTAATTTATTAGTTCAAGAAAAATATTTATTCATCATTTACTCATGTTAGATATGCTCCAGACTCTAGGAACAGGATCACTAAAAGAGGGAGAGAGTGAGAGAAAGAGAAACAAAGGTTGCTTCTGCCTTATGGAGTACATTGGTCCCAGTGTAACCAGAATGTTATCAAGAAATTACAATTTCAACTATATGAAGAAAGGAGAGGCAAAGAGTGCTATGGGGGCAATTGATGAGGTGATCTTATCTTGTCTGGCAGACAAATGGAAGAAAAGAACATTCTGATTATATGACATTTTAACTAAGTTCTATATGGATGTGTGCTAAGTGAAGTTGCTGCAAACATTTTCAAAGGGAAAAAACATTTGGTCTGAATGCCTTGTTTTCTTAAAGAATGTAAAATATAACAGGTTGTGGAACAGAGGTAGGTAAAGCAGAAGATGAGAGGAGTTAGGAGGACAAGTGTGAAATAAGAAGGTTGGCCTGGGAGAGGAAATCAAGAAGGGTCTTGTTGACAGATAATGTTGGACACTCATAGACATAAGAAGGCCTTCTAATCTAAAATCTAAATTAGAAGGCCTTCTAATCTAAATTGAAGGTACTAGAGTTTATTGTAAGGGCAATGGAAAAGAGTCAAGAAGTAATTGAAAACGAGTCAAGAAGTAATTGAAAACTTTTTTCATATTTCAAAAATAGGATACACTTTATAAGTGATAGCATCATTCAATCAATAATTTTTAAATAAAAATCAACATATTTAGCAAAATGCCTATGCATATTTTATATAGTTGAATTTTTCAATAAACTTTTAAATTTTAAAAAGTTTTAGTCTTACAGAAAAGTTATGAAGGTAGTCAAGAGAGTTCTCACATACTCCACACCCAGTTTCCTCAATTATTAACATCTTACATTAGTATGATATATATGTTACAATTAAAGAGACAATAAGGAACAATTATTATTAACTATTATTAACTTTCTTAATATTAATGTATTACATATTATTAACGTAATTAATAAAATTTTATTAATTTTATAACTTTATTAACTTATTAACTTAATTACCTTTTTAAGTTTTAACCTAATGCATTTTTTCTGTAAGATTCAATCCAGAATATAATATTACATTTGATCATCTGGTCTTTTTAGACTCTTTTTGTTTTGACAGTTTCTCAGACTTCTTATTTTATGACCTTGACAGTTTTGAGGGTAGTGAACAGATGTTTTGTGTAATGTCCCTATATTGGGATTTCTTTGATGTTTTTCTCATAATTAGACTGAGGTAATAAGGTTTGGAGTTATGAGTTTTAGGTATCAGTACTTTAACAGGTATGTGTTTTGCAACTAGTTTTTCAAGTCTGCAGCTTGTCATATCATTCTCTGAAGAATGTCTTTAATAGATTGTTTTTCAATGGAAAGAAGTCTAATTTGTTTTTTTCTTATACTTATGGTATTGTTTCTAAAAGTCATCGCCAAACTCAGGGTCATCTAGAACTCCTATCTTCAAGGAAGTTTGTAGGTTTACATTTTATATTAGGTCTGTGACTTGAATTTTTTGTGAAAAATGTAAGATCATTGTATTATATATATAATATATAAATATAATATATATTTATTATATTAATATATATTACTATATATTAATATATATTACTATATATTAATATATATTAACATATATAAATATATATTAATATATATTAACTATATATTAACATATATTAATATATATTAATATATATTAACTATATATTAATATATAGTTATTATTTTTAGCTGGCATAATACTGCACATATTTATAGGATACAGAATGCTATTTTGTTACATATATATGATGTGCAATGATCTAATCAAGATAATTAACATATCGATCACCCTAAACATTTATCACTTCTTTATGTTGGGAACATTCAAAATCTTCTCTTTACCTTTTTGAAAATATACAGCAAATTATTGCATCTGGATGTCCAGTTGTTCCAGCACCATTTGTTGAAAATACTATCCTTTTCCATTGAATCACCTTTGCTCTTTTATCAAAGATCACTCTATACATTCATGTGTTACATAACGTTTTGGTGAATAACACATGGAATATACAATGATGGCCCCCTAAGATTATAATGGAGTGAAAAATTCCTATTGTTGGTGATGTTGTAACCATTATAATGTCTTAACAAAAGGCATTACTCACCTGTTTGTGATGATAATTATATGAACAAACCTACTGTGTTGCCAGGCATATAAAAGCATAGCACATATAATTATATACAGTATATAATACTTGATAATAAAAATAAACTTCTATCCTACTATGGTATATTATTTAATATACTATACTATACATTTTATTGTTATTTTAGAGTTTGCCCCTTCTACTCATAAAAACATATTGACTATAAAATGGCCTCAGACATGGCCTTCAGGCAGTATTCCAGAAGAAAGCATTGTTATCACAGGACATTACAGCTCCATACATATTATTGCCCCTGAAGTCCTTCCAGTAGGACAAGATTGAAGGCGAAAGCCAATGATATTGACAGTCTTCACCCTGTGTAGGCCTAAGTTAATGTGTGTATTTGTGTTTAGTTTTTACCAAAAAAAGTTAAAAAGTAAAAAAAAAATTTTTAAATTTAAAATGGAAGAAGGCCTATAGAATAAGAATACACATGGAGAAAATATTTTTGTATGGCTGTACAATATGTTTCTGTTTTACATCATCTCTGCATTTACTGCATTATGTCAAAATAGTCAAAAAATTAAAAAATACATGAAAGTTTATAAAGTAAAAAGGTACGGTAAGCTACAGTTAATTTATTATTGAATATAGAAAAAGTGTTAATGAATTTAGTGCAACTTGAGTGCACAGTGTTTACAAAATCTAAAATAATGTGCAGTAATGTCTAGGGCTTCACATTCATTCACCACTCAACAGTGACTCATCCATACAAACTTCTAGTTCTGCAAGCTCCATTCATGGTAAGTGCCCTATAAAGATGCATCATGTTTTACCTTTTGTATCATATTTTTCTTGTATCTTTTCTATGTGTTTAGATACACAAATACTTACCACGTTTTACAGTTATCTGCAGTATTCAGTAGAGTAATATGTACAGATTTATAGTTTAGGAACAATAGAGGATACCATATAGTCTGAGTGTGTATTCAGCCATACCATCTAGGTTTGTGTAGGTATATACTAGGATGTTTGCACAACAGCAAAATTGCCTAACGATGCATTTCTCAGTACATATGTATCCTTGTCAATAAGCAATGCATAATTGTATTTGTACGAGTCTAGTTCTTTGGTCTCTATTTTGTTTCATAAATCTATTTGTCTTTCATCCACATCACACTGTCTTGATTAATGAAGCTTTATATGATGTCTTGAGGTCACATAGTATCAGTCCTCATACTTCTATCTTCTTCAATATTGTGTTGGCTTTTCTAGTCTTTTGCCTTTTGTATAAACTTTCGAATCAGTTTGTTTTGAAACTTTATTTGATCAATGTGTTACTTAGAAATGTGTTTTTTAATCTCAAAATTTTCTTAAGATTTCCCATCTTTCTGTTATTGATTTCTTGTTTAATTCTATGTGGTTTAATTCTACATTCTACGATTTCTATTCCTTTAAAAAGTTAAAGTGTGCTCTATGTTACAGAATGTTGACAATCTTGGTGAGTATCCCATACGAGCATGAGAAAAAATATGTATTTTGGTGTTTTTAGAGGCAATATTCTATCCATGCCAATTAAATCCAGTTGATCGACTGTGCTGTTCAACTGTATCCTTAGGGTTTTTCTGCTGGATAATTATTCTTCCCCTGGGTTGGTTAGGATCTGTTAAAACCCAAGTGGTTAGACTCTGATGACATAGTTTACTAGCGGCAGGATTTTGTTGATTATTTTTGGCTTCTTTCAAAATTTCTTTCCCCTTTACCCTACATGAAGCACAAGATGATTTTTTCCTGATCTTCATTTTGAGAACTGGTAGGACTCCCAGAGGTGAAACCCATGCCAGTGTGAAGGTTCCACAAAGGCTGGGCCCTCAGGAGCTTTAATTTCTAAAGCTACTCCATGTTTGTTACCCTTTATGGATTTCTGCCAGACTCCAGTGGAGGATTCTGTTTCCAGAAATCTGTTTGTTTGTATTCACATTTCTCTCTGGTTTTCAGGGTGGCAACTTGCCCTGTGAACTCAGTTCTTTGATGGATTAAGATTTGTTGATTTTTAGTTTATTTTGCTTTTCTTCTTGTTGGGATGATGGAGTTAAAACTTCCAATCTACTTACATACTGAAATAGAAATGTATTTATTTTAAGATGGCTACATTACCACTTCCAAAACAACTGGAATTCTGCAAGCAAAAAGAGGAGAATGAATGTTAAGTAGGCAATCATCTCTGCATCCTATTAACTAATAAATTCACTTCTCACTTCTGGATATGTATCCTGTATGTATGTATCCCCCACCCCAACACACACACACACACACACACATTATATATTTATGAAGGAGAAGGTATACGATGTTTATTAAATCATTTTTATTTTGAATAAAAAACTGAAAACGAATCATTTCTATATGAATATATACAAACACTTGTTTGTAGGTGAAAATATAGAAAATAATGTAAAATAAAATCACACGGAAAGTAGTTATTTCTTAATGTAGATCATAACTGGGGTAGGATGAAAGACATTTTCCCTTTTTAATCTACATACTTTTGTAACATTCAGATTTTCTTCAGTCATGAATTAAAATCAATTAATTATATAAAAATAAAATTTTTCCTAAAATTATAAAAATAGATTTAGGCATATTGTTTACAGCACAAGTTCTCAAAAGAGTCTGCTGCCTTGATTTATAGCCTGATTCTGTCACCTATCAGCTTTGTCACTTCGGCAACCTTTCTATATGTCTAAAGATAAAAATAATATCTACTGAGTAGACTTGTTATATAAAATTAATAAGACATTGCATACAGATTGCTTAACATAGCATTTGGAATGTTGGATATTATTCAATAATTATTAATTACTATTTCAGTTATTGTGACATGAGATATGTAACTTAGACATAAGAATATAGCTCCTTTCACTGGGATTGATGAACATTAAAATGAACAACTGAGAAATTCGATAATTTTATTTTTCTTGTAATGCCTCATGAAATCCCGGGCTAATGTTTGTTCACGTTGAATTGAGTGTGTTCTCCCTTGACTAAGCTTTCATATTCTAAAGTAAAGTTGTTTTAATCAAATGGGAAATGATCAGTTTCTAAACTAAAGATTACTGGTTCTTTTTAAAGAATCTGGTTTAGGCCCAGCACAGTGGCTCATGCCTGTAATCCCAGCACTTTGGGAGGCCGAGGTGGGCAGATCACCTAAGGTCAGGAATTTGAGACCAGCCTGGCCAACACAGTGAAATCCCATCTCTACTGAAAATACAAAATTAGCCGGGCATGGTGGCGAGTGCCTGCAGTCCCAGCTACTAGGGAGGCTGAGGCAGGAGAATCGCTTGAACCCAGGAGGCAGAAGTTGTAGTGAGCCAAGATCGCGCCACTGCACTCTAGCCTGGGTGACAAGAGCAAAACTCTGTAAAAAAAAAAGAATCTTGTTTAATACTTCATAAAATTTAAATGGCATCAGACATTAACAAAATATAAAATAACTTACATAAGGCCATAGAACAGTAATAAATATTCAAGGTAAGAAAAATAATAAACATTACACAAATGAAAATCTATAGAACATAACAAATAATTCGCTGAAGAAGCAAGCTTTGAATCAAATTGCCGAAATGATCAAAGCTAAAGATATGTTGGTATATTAGTAGATACAACACTGTGCACCTGGTCTTGCACTTACTCTGTTGCTATCATCATGGGTACAACATACCTATGCTGCCTGCTAGACCAACTAGAGGCTGAGTGACATGTGAAGTCAAGGTATCCCAACAGAGCCATGCCAGCTGGGCCAAAGCTAGATTTGCTGTTCTGGAGGTGACCCAGAGACACACACGAGCTAAATAAATAATTATTGCTGAGTGCCAGTAATATTTTCTGTTGTTTTTTACATAATAGCTAACTGAAATGTCAACCAATACTTCATATTTACACAACCAAATGTTACCCATATTAGTAGTACTACTCCAACATCTTAGTGAGGATTTTGTTTTCAAAAGTTAAAGTCTAAATAAAGGGAATCATATAAGATCAATGGAGCTTAAAACACTTCTTGTTAAAATGCCATATTTGAAAATGTATTCATCTTCATTTTATGGTAAAACATATAAACCTCTTCCACTTATATGTCTTTCAACAAACAAAAAAAGAAAAGTAAATACTTTAGAGTCCCTATTTTTTTATATTTTCAGAGAAAACTAATAATTTAATGAGAATATAGATAGGTAGCTTCATTCCGTATCTCACCTTCATAAAGGCAAAAGAGTCTCACTCTAGGAGATTAAAACTTAGTTAATTATGAAGTAAATAAGAAACTGATTCAAATGTATATCTCCACTACACATGTACAATGATATACATAGATGTATATGCACATCTATGTATTTGGACACATGTGGATGGAAGTATATATATATAATATATACACACATATATGAGTTTATATTATATATGCACATATTAGGTTGGTGCAAAAGTCATTGTGGTTTTTGCCATTGAAGGTAATTGCAAAAACCGCAATGGCTTTTGCACTGACCTATTATATATTAATGTTTAACAATTTAAAATTCTTGGTTCTCTGTCCCTCCTCATTAAATTGCGCAAATTAAACAGGCTTGATGTTTTCCACATCCCAATTCAGCATCAACCTAAACATTAATTTGAGATATTTCACACAGGATTGAATACATATGAGATATAGGAAATGAAACAAACATATACTGACTGAAATATATTTACTAGAATCTTATTCTCTAATTTCTGTTAAAGAAAGTTATTTGTTTAGGCTTTGGTTAAGGAAGTTCTTCACTTAATTTTAGTTAAGGATTTTTTTATTTTCTCTATTTCCTAGAAGTAAATTAAACCAATACCATATTTAATAAATATTCTGATATGCAATATTATACACTTTAAAAAAATAAAATTTTGTATTTAATTATTTCATAAAGCCATTGTTCTCAAGGCCCTTTCTACTTTGTTATCAATTAATTAGAAAATATACCGTACATATAAGTGCCATATCTCATTTTAAAGCTTCCATAAACGAAACAATGGAAACACTAGAAATAGAATACATCATTCTTGAGCTATGATCTTGCCACTACACTCCAGCCTGGCCAACACAGCAACACTATCAAAAACAACAACAACAACAAAAACAAAACAAACAAAAAAATTCTAAAATGAACTTTTAAAATATTTTTTAAAATATACATTAAAGAATGAAAAAGTATAGCTTGTCAAGTAAATAATAGACAATAAAATGGGCAAAACTACAGCTACCTTTTGGTAACATATATTTTATTAAAAAATACTGGATGCCATTGATGGAACAGAAAAATACCACCATGAACAAAGTAAGAAACAGGCAACAATGCCATACTGCTTCTCTAATGGCACTAGCGATGGAAATAGCCAGTATTTAAGCAGCCATGATAAATATTATTTTTATGATTTTTTAAATAAGCTATCTCTTCCTATTATTTTCCCACCACCTCCAGCATTTATCATTTCTTCGTATTACAGACATTCCGATTATACTCTTGTAGTTATTTTTAAAATGTACAATGTATTATTGTTGACTGTAGGCTCCCTGTTGTGATGTCAAATACTAGATCTTATTCATTTTATTTTTGTAATCATTATCGTCCTTTTTAAGTAAAAATTGTCATTTCTCATCTTGATGCAGGGACCTGGTATGGAAGTAAGGAAGAATGTTATACTAATTTTTCATTAGGGAGTACAGAGGGACGTGGAAAACCATTTATACTCCTTATTTCAAAGGCTGTGATAAAGCACCATGTCTTGTCTATTGACTTCCACCTGGGAGACTTGAGAAAGACACCCCGTCTTTTCTATTTCCTCTGACCATTTATTTTTATCACTATCCTTCATCAGGTCTTCTATGTCTCAGTATATTTCTTATTTGCAAAACATGGTTTTTTTTCATAGACTTAAGGCTTTCTCTAGACTGTAACATTGTTAAGACTAAAATATATTTACTTATGAAAGGAAATTGTCCTCTAGTGAGGAAGCCATAAAAAAATAAAAAATATAAATGTTCATAAAATAAAAAAGTACAGTAAGCAAAGATTAATTTATTAAGATAGAAAAATTGTTAATAAATTTAGTGCAGCCTAAGTGCGTGGTGTTTATAAAGTCTACAATAATGTACAGTAATGTCTAGGGCTTCACATTCACTCACCACTCACTCACTGATTCATCCAAACTTCTAGTTCTGCAAGGTCCATTCACGTTAAGTGCCCTATAAAGATATATCATGTTTTATCTTTTGTATCATATTTTTCTTCTGTCTCTTCTATGTGTTTATATACACAAATACTTAGACCACTGTGTTACAATTGCCTAAGGTATTCAGTAGAGTAACATGCACAGATTTGTAGCTAAGGAACAGTAGAGGGTACCATGTAGCCTAGACAAGTATTTGACTATAACATCTAGGTTTGTGTAAGCACACTCTATAATGTTTGCACAACAACAAAATCATCTAATGATGCATTTATCAGTACCTATGTATTCCTGTCAATAAGTGATGCATAATTGTATTGGTCAAGTTCTGTGATCTCTATTTTGATTCATTGATCTATTTGTTCTTTCATCCATATCACACTGTCTTGATTAATGAAAGTTACAGTAAGTCCTGATATCCAGAATATACAGAAACCTTCTAAAATTCAACAAAACCACAAAAACAAACAATTTAAAAAGGGCAAAAGACTTGAATAAACATTTATCCAAAGAAAATATATGAATAATAAATAAGTACAAGAAAACATGATCAATAACATTAATCATTAAGGAAATTCAAATAAAAAACACAAGATTATGATGTCACACCAATTAGGATGGCTATTATAAAAAATACAAGGCAGAAAATAAAAGTGTGGGATAGGATGTGGAGAAACTGGAACTCTTGTGCATTCATGGTAGGAATGTAAAATGGTACAGTCACTGTGGAAATCAGTATGGTGGTTTCTCAGAAAAATGAGAAGAGTATTAGCATATGATCCAACAATCCCACTTCAAGGTACACAACCAAAACGACAGAAAGCAAGGTCTTGAAGAGATATTTGTACATTATATTTCTAGCAGCATTATTCACAATCTCTAAAATGCAGAAGCAACCTAAGTGTACATTTATGAATTAATGGGTAAACTAAATGAGGTATGTACATATGATGGAACATTGTTGTTCAATGTTAAAAAGAAAGGCAATTCTGACATATGTTATAGCATGAATGAATCTCAAAGACATTAGGGTAAATGGACTAAGCCAGTCACAAAAAGACAAATACTATATGATTTCACTTATATGAGGCGGCTAGAGTAGTCAACATTATAGAAAGTAGAATGGTGATTTCCAGGGCCTGGAGGGTGGAGCGAATGTGGAGTTTATTCACTGGGTATAGAGTTTCAGTTTTCCAAGACAAAAAGAATTCTGGAGATGTATTGTGGACCTAGTTGCCCCAAAATATGAACGCATTTAATATCACTGAGCTGTACACTTAAATATAATTAAAATTATAGTACACTGAAATATAATTAAAATTATATATTTTATATTTATTTACAAAATAAAAATTTGAAGAAAAAATAAAAGAAGCATTTATGTACTTCAATCTTATGATACTTTCAAATAAATATGCTGTCAGAAAATGACAAAGAAAAAAACTCAACTTGTTGCCAAGAGATGGAACAGTCAACAAGACCAGAAGATGATTCATGTGTGGGAACTATAAGACTGGAACTTTCATATAACTGAAGTTAATGTGTTCAAGACTTTATTTTTGAAAAGTAGACAGCATTCACAAGCAGATGGAAATTTTAGCAGAAAAATATGAAATATGAATAATCATACAAAAGACAGCCATATGGGAATGCCAGAAAAAAATGTCATAAATGAAGAATAACTTTCAGGGTTTTATCAGCAAGCTTATAAACTGACTTAACACAGTTGAGGAAAGAATCAGAAAACATAAAGATAGGTGAGTAGAAAATAACCAAATTGAAACACAAAGACAAAATAAAAGTTGGAAAAAAAAAACTGACACCTGAGAGCTGAGAGAAAGTACTAAATGGCCAATTGTTAAAACAGAATAAAATAAAATAAGTCTCTAATAAAAGAAGAAAGAGAAAGGCAGAAGAAATATATGAAAATATGGCCGGGTGTGGTGGCTCACGCCTGTAATCCCAGCACTTTGGGAGGCCGAGGCAGGCGGATCACGACGTCAGGCGATCGAGACCATCCTGGCTAACATGGTGAAACCCCGTCTCTACTAAAAATACAAAAATACAAAAAATTAGCCAGGCATGGTGGCAGCGCCTGTAGTCCCAGCTACTGGGGAGGCTGAGGCAGGAGACGGCGTGAACCCGGGAGGCAGAGCTTGCAGTGAGCTGAGACCGTGCCACTGCATTCCAGCCTGGGCGACAGAGCAAGACTCCATCTCAAAAAAAAAAAAAAATATATATATATATATATATATATATATGTATGTATATATGTATGAAGATATAATGACTGAGAAATTACTAACAATAACAAAACTAACAAACCACAGGTTCAGGACTCTCAGAGAACTCTAAGAAGGAGACACACACAAAAAGGAAACACATATACACACACTCCTCTGTCTTTCTCCCCTTTCTCTCTCTTTCTCACTCCCTCTTTCTCTCTTTCTCCTATACACATATACAGACTTAGACTTATCAGAGCCAAAATGCTCAAGAAAAATAATATCTTGAAATGAGGTAGAAGGAAAAAAAACCCTTATATTAAGAAAAAACTATATAAGAAACACATAAATTTTTATTTAGAAAAATACAGGAGAGTAAAAAGTGGAGGAAACATCCAAAGTACTAATAGAAAAAAAAATAAACTTAGAATTTATTAAGATTAAAAAGGACTTTCCAAAATTAGTATAAAAAGCCTTTATAGACAAATAGAATGAGAGGATTTATTGACACTGCACCACACAATAAGAAATATCAAAAGAAGTTTTTTCAATTAGAAGATGTTTGATTCCCGATGGCAATTTGATCTATACAAAGAGATGAACAGAATCTAAATTAGTAAAAATAAATTTATATGTGAAAGAATTTTTTTCTTATGCTTAAACTTTCAAATAAATAATTGATTGACTAAAATAAAAACATCGGCCAGGCACGGTGGCTTACGTCTGTAAGCCCAGCACTTTAGGAGGCCAAGGCATGTGGATCACAAGGTCAGGAGTTTGAGACCAGCCTGGCCAAGATGGTGAAACCCTATCTCTACTAAAAATACAAAAATTAGCCAGGCACAGTGGCACGCATCTGTAATCCCAACTACTTGGGAGGCTGAGGCAGGAGAATTGCTTGAACCCAGGAGGTGGAGGTTGCAGTGAGCAAAGATCATGCCACTGCACTCTAGCCTGGGCAACAGAGCAAGACTCCATCTCAAAAAAAAAAAAAAAAAACCAACAATGTATTGAGTTTATAACATAAATAAAAATAAAATATTTAACAAAAACAACAATACATTAGCAAAAAGAAAGATGATGTATCTGAAATTATTCATAAAGTGGTATAACATTTTTTGTAATAGGGGTTGTAGTACATTTGAGTTTTATATTGTAATTCTATGGTAATCACCAAAAAAACTGTAACTAATATAACAATAGTGGAAGTAAAATGCAATTAATAAGAAAATTGATCTAGTCAATGAAATCAGAAAATGAAATAAAAGAACAGATTGAAAAAATAAAATACAACTAGCAAGATAGTTTGAAATCCTACCATATAAATAACTACATTATATGTATTCATCAGGGTTCTCCAGAAAAATAGAAACAATGGGATACACACACATACACACACACACACAGGCAGAGAGAGCAAATTATCTTTTACCCCATTTTGTTCTATCCAATTATCTAATGAATCAGTTGAGGTCCACCTACATTGGAAAGGACAACTGGGCAAATATCAAGGCACCTCTGTCCCAATCAAGTTAGCACGTAAGATTAACCACTGCATCATACCTTAATGGTTTAAACAAGCCCATTAAAAAGAAGACTTTGTGAAACTAGATAAGAAAACAATACTTTATATATAACTGTACTTATCTCTAAGAACTGACTAAATATAGAAGGACAAAGGTTTAAAAATAAAAGTTTAGAAAGGTGTGCTGGAACAGGCCTGTAGTCTCAGCTAATTGGGAGGCTGAAGTGGCAGGATTGCTTGATCCTAGGAGTTTGAGGTCGGACTGGGCAACATAGTTAGATCCCATCTCTGAAAGTAAATAAATTACAAGATGGGAAAATTGTATGCTGTGCAAACTAACCAAAGTTATTTCAGAACAAGAAATATTATTAGAAATGTAAAGAGGTGGCCAGGCGTGGTGGCTCACACCTGTAATCCCAGCACTTTGAGAGGCCGAGGTGGGAAGATCACGAGGTCAGGAGATCAAGACCATCCTGGCTAACACGGTGAAACCCTGTCTCTACCAAAAATATAAAAAAATTAGCTGGGCACGGTGGCAGGCGCCTGTAGTCCCAGCTACTCAGGAGGCCGAGGCAGGAGAATGGCGTGAACCTGGGCAGCGGAGCTTGCAGTGAGCCAAGATCGTGCCACTGCACTCCAGCCTGGGCGACAGAGCAAGACCCCGTCTCAAAAATACTACTACTACTACTAATAAAATAAAGAAATTTAAAGAGGTGTATACCATAATGATTAAGAGATCAATCCCAAGAGAAGAAATGAACATTCTAAACGTATATACACCTAATGCAAAACTTCAGTATACTTAAAGTAAAATACTACCCACAATTATAGTTGGATAATTTAGTACTTTTCTCTTAGTAATTGCTAGACAAAGAAGTAAAAATTAAATAAGGTTAGAGAAAGATATAGAAGATCCAAACAATGTAGCCAGCCAAATTAATATAATTGTTATTTTAGAATTATCTGTAAAACCACAGTACAATGCACATTTTTAAAATTTTTATATGGAATGTTTAAAGGCAAGATAGGCTATATTCTGAGCTATAAAAAATATAACTCATTTTTAAGGCATTGGAATAATACTATGTTCTCTGAACACAGAAAAATTATACAAGAAATATGTAACAGGAAAATATCTGTAAAATATCCAAATATTGGAGAAATAATGAACACACCTCTAATCAGTGATGGATCAAAGAAGTAACAAGACGAATTGAAAAGATTTTGAATGAATAAAAATGAAAACACAGTATGTCAAAATTTGTGAGATAGAGCTAAAGCAATAATTAGAAAAATCCATAACATTAAAGGCTTATATGAGAAAAACAACAAAGTAAGAATGAGCAAAGAAATAATAAAGATATGAGCAGAAATTAATGACATAGTAAATAGAAAGTAATTGAGATTCTTAAAGAAACATAAAATATTATTTAAAAAAATCATGAAAATGATAGACTTACAGGTAGATTTACAGGAACAAAAAGAACAGAAATTACAAATATTGGGATAATAAATGAGATATTATAAAAATGAGATATTAGAGAATTTGCAGACACTAAGAGCAAAATATGAAAATGATAAGACTAGTTTTCTCCTACTTTGATAGTTTATATAAGCCAACAATTTCACGAGAACCACAAAATAACAACTTAATGAAGAAGAAATAAATAAACGGAATATGTATTTGTTAAATTAATTCAATCTATGGTTAAAAAATCCCTAAGCACAAATGTCTTCACTACTGAATTCTTCCAACATTTAGTTATTTTTACCCCAAATCTTCCAGAATATAAGATATGTGGGAACAATATCCAAGTCACTTTAGTCAATCAAAACTATCCTGATTTCAAAATAAGACAGACATTACAAGAAAGCAAACCACAACAAAATCCCAAAACCTTCATGAAAAAGTTTAATGACACTGTTAGCAAACTGTATGTAGCAATATGTAAGGACAATAATACATCATGAACATGTGAAGTTTATCTTAGAATAAAAGCTTGTTTTAAAGTTCAATTTAATTCACAATGTCAGATGAAAAGAAAAATTAAATAATCATTAAAATAGACTGAGAAAATTATTTGACAGAATGCAATATTCATCCATCATAATTTTAAAAAATATCAGAAATTCACACATAATCTGATAAAGGCCACTTGTGAAACATCTTTAACCTCATATTTATTGGTGAAAGAACAAATGTGCTCCCAGTAAATTTGAGGACAAGGTAAATGTAACTGTTCTCATCACTTGTACTCAACATTGTACCGGAGGCCCTTAGTGCGATAAGGCAAGGGAAAGAAAAAAATATATATATACATAGAAATAAGAATAGAAATAGAATAAACAATTAAAAAACATAAACAGATGGGAAAAGAAAAAACAAAATGTTCTTTATTCTAAAATGCATAGCTGTATAAAGAGATCATCCAAAAAAAATACATAAACTACTAATACTGAGGTTTGAATTTAATAAGATCTCAGGATACAATGTTAATATATAAAAACCAATTTTGTAACAATATAGATAACACAATATCATTTTAAAAGGTAAAACATTTAGGGATAGCTAGAAACAAATATATCCAAGCTCACTTCATTACAATGTACAAACATATTGTTAAAAGAAGACCTAAAGAAACAGAGGAATACAGGTAATTAAAGAGAAGACTCAATATTAAGATACCAATTCTCCCCAAACTGACATAGATTCAACACAGTCCAAAAAAAAAAAAAAAAAAAAAAAGTCCAGCAGGTTACTTCATAGAAATTAAACTTGATTCTAAAGTGCATATGAAAACATAGATGGCATAAAACAGCCAAGGCAATTTTTTAAAAGCAAAAAAATACAGGAATCAAACTAATTGATTTAAATGCCTATTATATGGCTACAGTAACCAAGATTATGTGGAATTTGTGTAATTATAGATAGGTAAAGAGTTAAAAAAATAGGTAAAGAGTTGATAAATGATAGATACAGAGTTTTCATACAGACAGTTTTCATATAGGCAATTGACTTTCACAAAATGACAAGGTAATTCAAAGGGGAATGGAGGTGGAAACAACATTCATATGCAAAAAAAGAAGAAATACGTTCCATATGCATAACTTAATTCAAAATAGATCGCAAACCTAAGTATAAGAGATAAAACTATAAGGTCTGATTGCAGAAACATGGGAGAAAATAATTTTGACCTTGAGATGCATAGATTTTTTAGGATACATAAAGCACTCATCATATAGCTTCAGCAAAATGAAAGACGATTATTTTTCCTAAGACAGCGTTAAAAAGTGAAAAGACAAGCCATAGTCTGTGAGAAATATTTGTAAAACACATATTTAATAAAGGCCTTGTATCCTAATTAGGTAAACAACTTTTATAAATTAACAATAAAAAATAAGTAAAAACAATCAAAATATTTAAATAAACACTTCTCCAAAGCAAAGAGACAGATGTCAAAAAAACACGCATTAAAAGACATTCAACACCTTAGTCATTCACTGAGTTAAAATTTAAAACCTATGACATGCCACTTTATGCTCACTGGAATGGCCAAATTGAGAAGACTGACAATATCAATTATGATATCAATTACAAACAAGAATTTGAACTTATAGCATCCTAATAAATTTCTTGAGGGAATGTAAAACAGATCATTTGGAAAACACCCTGGCAATTTACTATATAATTAGATAAACTCTAAAAAATCTAGCTATACCTTTCTCTAGTGTTTACCCCAGAAAATGAACACTCAAGACCTGTATGTAAATATTTATGGTAGCATCATATAGAACATCCTCAAACAGGAAACAATCTAAATATCTATTAACTGAGGAGATGAACAAATTTTTGGTAAACTCATTACACTAATCTATATACTACAGATAAATATATTGACTACCACTTGTTTTGTGGGAATTATTAAATAAGCTATCACATGCTAGACCACTTACTAAACTGCCTAGACATGTTTAAACATTATAAATGTAAACTGTTATTGTTGATGACAATGATGATGGTGTAGGTGATAGTAGTGTTGGTGGTGGTGATGATGATGATTTAGAAATGCAGTCACAGAGAGGAGGTGAGAAGAAATAAAATTAAAATTAAGAAAATAATTAGTAAAAAGTTAGTCTGCATAAAATTGGTATCACAAGTATGAGATACAGAAACCTCTAAATGTAGAAAGATATAATGAGTTTGGGAGAAAAAATATATATATATTTATTTTATGTATATTGGAATATATATTTATAAAATGTATCTTCTTAAATAAGCAGTTTGTTTTTCTTTCCTTCAAAACTGAGAAATTTTAATAGTGAAAAATCAAAATATCTTGAGAAAATATGTTCACACAGTTGCAAATTTTTTTTAATAAATAAGAATAAACATAAAGTGAGGCAAGGTAGAGTTTGGAAGAGAAACAAAGAAATGAAACAATGTATTAAAAATATACCTTAATTAATTGATTTGTCTTTACTGTAATTACAAATCAAGAGGTAATTTTATATGAAATTAATTTGAAATATTCACGTGTACAGATATGCACATTTGCATATTACATTAATATATGAATATATCATATGTATAATTTAGCATTAAGCAGCTGTTATTAAATGCCAAAAATCAGTATTTAGTGATGCCACTTAGAAAAATATTAAATAGAATAATTTGTCCAGTCTTTAGCTGTAGCAGCCTGCTGTATTTGGTTCGTTATATGTAAATAAACTCACTTATTTTTTAAAGTCTCTTTAACCCAATTGTCTCAGCTATTTGAATAATGTCATTCTCCCATCCTTTATTCATTTTCTTCTATATAAAAATACCTACCAAAAGTATCTTTGCATTTATTTTTCCCTTCAGTTTTCTTTGTTATCTGCATTGTCTTGTACATTCTCCATGTTATCCTTCTTTATTGACTCCTCAACTCAAGTAGATGAGTGATTTTTGAAGAGTAACCAAAAGCTGTAATGTAAAAAGTGGCCTCAAAAACTGAGTGTTAATAAAGATGACTAAAAATGCTCAGATATACTCAAGACTTTAGATGTATTTTGGTAAACACTATTCAGTTTTTCATCCAAACAGTATCTATTAAGGAAAATATGGTATATAAAAATGAAGGTATTTTCTGATAACACCTGTCCCTCTAGTGGAAAGGTTAATGCATTTCAAGATTTATTCTCAACGTAGTTTTCTTCAAAAGGATACCTTTTTATCAGACTAAATAACTGTAACTTTTTGTTTGTTTTATTTTTTAACTATGATTGATGTGAATTCAAGCAAATTCAAAGTCCACAAATGCGCAAAGAACAAAGGTTAATGGAGCTGTCGGAGCAATGCTGCAGAGACCAAGGGATCTGCCATAAAGGAGAAAATATCCTTTGTTTTCAGATAAACCCTTCACCAATATAGTCTATCCTTTTCATCATCTAATTTGACAATATAGTTCAAGTATGTAAATAAAATGCATATAAGGGTATTTCTAATAATGCACAAATGACTAGAAACTTGGCATCAGCCTAGATTTGTGTGTTCATTTTATGCCTAGGGCTTATATGTTTTTTAAGTACCAGTTTTTAAATACAATTATTGTTTTTATACTAGGATTTTCTTCAGTGTGCTTTTCTGTGTCTTTCTGTCTAATACTCTTTCTCTTTAAAAGATTTATACCACATTTACCCTTTCTCTCTCATTCTCTCTCGTAGTTGTTGATGATGTGATGTTTTTAGGTAGGTTTAATTTCTATGTAGCAAATGTAGCAAATAGTTGAAATATCTAAAGAAAAATGAAAACACAACCAAATGTGAACATCAAAACTCTTATTGAGTTACCTGGATACTCAAATATTTTATTTCCCAATACATGTAATTTACTTCAAAAACAGTTTCAGCAATGTCATCATTTGGATTTAGTAAAAGATTCTAACTTCAGTCTCCTAAAGCTACCCCAGTGTGACTGATACACAGCTGGTAGCTCCATTTCATTGTAAGAATGTAAGCTCACTCTGATAGGCATTTGTTCTGATTGTTTGATGCTCACCCATTCCCAGCCTGTAAATATCTGTAGTATTTTCACTGCCCCAATGATTAATGCCTGTAAATGACCTTATATAACCAAGTGCCAGGCTGTAGTACAAATTTCTATAATTGAAGGACGAACAAAGTGGGAGAGAAATGTTTCATATAATTAGTAGAAAATCAGTTGCTTCTTGCATATTCCTTACTTAGTTCCTGAGTGTTTTACACAAGGAACACTTTCATGAACATGTGTTTTTCATCTGAAACACCACAGGCACGTGCATATACACAAATACACACGATAAAAACAAATGAGCAGTATGGCCATTTTTATGTATTGATTTTTCCTATCCATGAGCATGGAATATTTTTTCATTTGTTTGTGTCAGCTCTGATTTCTTTGAGTAGTGGTTTGTAATTCTCCTTGTAAAGATCTTTCACCTCCCTGGTTAGCTGTATTCCTAGATATTTTATTCTTTTTGTGGCAGTTGTGAGTTAGATTGCCTTCCTGATTTGGCTCTCGGCTTGACTCTTGTTGGTGTATAGGAACATTAGTAATTTTTGCACATTGATTTTGTATCCTGAGACTTTGCTGAAGTTGGTTATCAGCTTAAGGAGTTTTGGGGCTGAGAATAGGAGGTTTTCTAGATATAGGATCATGTTATCTGCAAGCAGGAAGTTTGACTTCCTCTCTTCCTATTTGGATGAACTTTATTTCATTATCTTGACTGACTGCCCTGGCCAGGACTTCCAATACTGCATTGAATAGGAGTGGTGAGAGAGGGCATCCTTATTTTGTGCCAGTTTTCAAAGGGAATGCTTCCAGCTTTTGCCTCTTCAGTGTGATGTTGGATGTGGGTTTGTCATAAATGGCTCTTATTATTTTGAGCTTTGTTCCTTCAATACCTAGTTTATTGAGAGTTTTTAACATGAAGAGTGTTGAATATTATTGAAAGCCTTTTCTGCATCTATTGAGATAATCATGTGGTTTTTGCTTTAGTTCTTTTGTGTGATGAATCACATTTATTGATTCGCGTTTGTTGAATGAAACTTGCATCCCGAGGATGAAGCCTACTTGATGAGGTAGCGGATAAGCTTTTTGATTGCTGCTCGATTCAGTTTGTCAGAATTTTGCTGAGGATATTTGCATCGATGTTCATCAAGGATATGAGCCTGAAGTTTTATTTTTGTTGTTGTTGTTGTATGTCTGCCAGGTTTTGGTATCCAGAAAACAGTGGTCTTGCAGAATGAGTTAGGGAGGAGTCTCTCCTCAATCTTTTGGAATAGTTTCAACAGGAATGGAACTAGTTCTTTTTTGTACATCTAGTCAAATTCAGCTGTGAATCCATCTAGTCCTGGGCTTTTTGTTGTTGTTGGTAGGCTATTTATTACTGACCAAATTTCAGAGCTCATTATTAGTCTTTTCAGGGATTCAATTTCTTCCTACTGTAGTCTTAGG
Source organism: Homo sapiens (assembly GCF_000001405.40). Classification (NCBI taxonomy): domain Eukaryota; kingdom Metazoa; phylum Chordata; class Mammalia; order Primates; family Hominidae; genus Homo; species Homo sapiens. Next base: position 55,987,045 of record NC_000010.11, on the reverse strand, counting down.
AGGGTGTATGTGTCCAGTAGTTCATCCATTTCTTTTAGATTTTGTAGTCTATATGCATAGAGGTGGTACACACACACCATGGAATACTATGCGGCCATAAAATATAGAAGGAAATCATGTCCTTTGCAGGAACATGGATGGAGCTGGAGGCCATTTATCCTTAGCAAATTAATGAAGGAACACAAAACCAAATATAGCATGTTCTCATTTATAAGTGGAAGCTAAATGCTGAGAATAAAACAGAGGAGAACAATAGATATTGAGCCCATTGGAGGGTGGAGTGTAGGAGGAAGGGGAGGATCAGGAAAAATAACACATGGGTACTAGGCTTAATATCTGGGTGGCAAAATAATTGCTACAAGAAACTCCATGAAACGAATTTACCTATATAACAAACCTGTACATGTACCCCTGAACTTAAAAATGAAACTTAAAAAAAAGTCATTGCACAAATGCTAGGCATAATTGAGTCGTTTTTTATTGCATGTTGTCTTAAAAGCCAAAGAGTTTTAAGAAAAAAAAAAATAAGTGAGATGACTTATAGGACATAAAGCTAAGTCATCATCTGTAACCAGCTTCTTTGATAATGGCACTTTATTGTATAAAAATAAAATTCACTAAAATCAAATAGAAGCTTTATTTTTAAGTCTTTTAAAAATAAATGACGAGATAAATTTAGCATAAGCAAAAGATCAAAATTTCTCTGTCTGAAATGAACACTGAAAGTGAACCCAGCTACATTTATCAAGAATGCTAAAAATAGCAGACTTTTAAATATTTAGAGACCTAGAAACCTTTTCAGAATGATTTATTTTTGTACCTTCTTCTTAGGAAAAAAATTCACATACCGACAAAACTTTGTATAAAGTATTCATAGGTACTTAGAAGTGGATTCATGGCTTAATTCTTCTGAGACTCCAGTCTGTGAATCCCAACATGAGGGATTATGTGTTCTAAATGAGCACTTTTGCTTTTCAAAACATCAACTACCTCATAAAATTATTCTTTCAAACACAGAGTACCTAATACATATCTGGGCAACCAGGTAATCAAAAATGGCTTTCTACATGGAAAATAAACAGCTTTTATGATTTTTTAAAAATCTGATTTATTTTATATATTTTATATATTTATATAATTTAGCTTTTGATATTATCCCTATGGTCAAAAAGAACAAATTTTTTAGAGTGCAGCAAGTTTAACACTATTAACATTAGAAATGGCAAAACTATATTAATGTTTTCATAAGAAATTCATGTAGTTACATCAGCATTGAATGGTCAGTAGATGAGGAAGAAATTCACTGATTTTGATATGCAATGAAAAATTTTCAATATAACTTATTTCTAATATGCTTTACTTATCTCCCCTGTTGTTTCATATGCTAATATGACTGCAGTGCATATCAGAAAACTGCACTATAAATATCTCCTCTTCAAGATGCTTTTGTTAATTTTATCAATCTTACTCCTGATATTAATACAGACAAATGATCAAACTTCTTATAAAGTTGGTCTCTTTGGTTGGTCTTTGGGGAGATATCAGATAAGAGTTAAATATTACAGAAAGAGCAGATTTATTTTCTTGAAGAAATATGTATAACCAGAATATTTAATATTTAACTATGTTAAAGATATTAGATATCACTCAAATTTCATATTTAAAATGCATGAGTCCAAAAATGTTCCATTATTATGAATAGAAAATATGTTACACATTGGTGTATTTAACAAGAAGAAGAAAAAGATAGAAAAAGATAACTAAATCTAAAACTGACATACTGTCTAATAGGCTATGACTAATTTGCAGTATTAATAGATCTCTTAGAACAAAGAGACTGGTTGCTTACATAAGATGAAACAGTAGTTGTTCATATTGCCTTCTTGGATCTATTATGGTCCTACATCAGAGTCTTTCCAGCTTTGTACTCACAAATAATATCCTCTCTTTTTTAGCTGCTTGCTCAATTATTCCTATAAAAACAGTTCTTCCAATGTAGATGTTCCAGTCTTTTATAATATTGTATAACAAAAACTTATCTGCCCTTTAGTCTTTTCATGTTATCTCTCTGGCAAAACCCAAGCCTACATGAAATTTATCTGCTTTTCCATACCTGAGCAACTAGGCAGCTAGATAGATAAGTCAGAATTGTATACTATAAATTATTAATGAAAAAATTTAAAATATTTACTATTATTTTGAACCAACTATGTTTCCCTGGTCAAGGTGTGCTTTTACTCTATTTCCTGAAATTGTCAACGCTCATCCCATTGTCAATTTTGGTAGTTGCTAGGCTTCCATCCTATCCCACAGAGTAAACTGAAGCCATAATATTGAACCGTCTTCAAAGAGATGATACAAAGCTTCAGACCAAATCTACATTTCTTCTTATTCTTCCTTTCTTGGAAAGAATGTCCTTTTATTGTAGGTAAGGATAACTTCTTTTTTCCAGCTTGCCTGTCTTCATATGCGCAAACATTTATTCTCAAATGGATTCTTCTCATTGGTAATTAAACAAGTGCACACCAATTTTGTACTTATTTTGCAAAATTTTGTACCTGTACAGAAGTCAAAAGAATAGGACAAAGAATATGTTCTCCGTGAATGTTTTTTGAAATTTTTAAAAATTCTCTATGTATTATTTTTCTGAACTATTCGACAGGTTTCTCCTGCGGATAATAATATATTCCTACATAAGTCCAATACAATGATCACACTCAAAAAATTTAACACTGATGCAGTACTATTTTAAAAAAAATACCAGTGCATATTCAATTTCCCAATTACTCTATTAAAATCCTATAGAGTTTTTTATTTTTCTGATCTATAATTCGATTAAGATACATACAGACATCCCTTTGTATGTATATGTTATAAATTAAGAGACAATAGAATCATAGTGTAGAAATTATATGAATGATTCTTAATGATTCGTATTTATTTGTAAAAAATAATAAAACTACTAGAATTAATTAAATGAGCATTTATATAAAAAACATGAAAACAAAATTTTAATGAGAATAGCAGGTAACAACATTTATGTACACTTCAAAAATAAAAAAAAAATACAGTACTATTTGTTTGTGTGGAAACCCAGTAAACTCAAGATGGCAATGATCTTCATAAACTTGGTTTTAGCTATATCAATGACAATTCATTTCTTTAAAATATATCTGACATATATATTGAAAATGTTTCTGCCTCAAAATTTGAGAGTTGCTGCAGTGAGAATTTCATTTCATTTCATAATGGTTGAGATGCTTCAACCCTAAAATTAAAAAGGAATTAACTATGTTACTATCCTGATCTCAGGTACTGTAGTCAATATTTTACCTACCTAGCAGCAGTGTATTTTAAATTTTTGTTTTATTTCATTAATTTGTTTTACTAGCATTGATATTTTACCCAACGAAAAACAAATACAGTATCACTTTATAAACAGTACCTACAGCAGTCATGTCTTATCAAAATTAATTGTATGTCTTTATTTTTATCTCACCGTGAAACACTGTAACGATAGCTATTGATTAAGAGTGGCATTTATTTCAAATATTCTTGGCATTCTCTACTGGATTAGTAACCATATGAATGATCTTCACTGTTCCTTGTAGTGGGGGACTCATTAGCTACTTAAACAATGGGATCATCTGACTATATTCAATGACATGTTTATAACCAGAAAATAAATTTTTAAAGTTTACTAGTTAGAATAATAAAGACTTTGTGCATGTTGAAAAGAAGACAAAATCTTACAGACAGTTCTGCACTGTATGAATTCTTGAATGCAGAAAAAAGTGCCGTTGTATTCATAACATGATTTCTGTTCTGATTTGTGTATTTTTTTATGGTGAGATCATATTGTCTGCAGTATACAAAATATAAATTTATGTAAATACTTTTTATCTCTCTGTGAAATAAAATATACAAAATGCTTTTGCCTTTAGATTTAGCAACCATCTGAGGCTGCTGTTACAGCATAGGATAGATTGTTTTATGCATTTAATCTTGTTTGGTTAAATCATAAATACTATTAAATGCAAAGTATTATTAAAATTACTTTGGTACTTTTTGCTATTTCTAGGCAAAAAAAATAAGCCCTTTTAATAATTTGTATTATAATTCTCTTCATTTTATGGAACCCAAGACAATATTTTTCATCAGTCATTTCCTAGTAGGAAGTAATGTTGCTTTCTACTTCCTATGGTGTTTTACTTTGTCATCTCTAGAGTCACTTAATACTTTCTGCTCTACAATATAATCATATATAATTTTATTTCTTCAATAACAGAAATATCCTGGAGGTAATGATTATTTGCCATTTTACCTCTGAGACCATAATTTGCAAATATTGGGAATTCTGGATTTGTTTATTAATATTATTTATGAAAAAATGAGAAGCCTTTTGAAGTAAGATTTTATCGATTTTTGTCACTGAACTAGTAACCAAAATGATACAAGTCTACTGAAATAAATTTGTCTTTTTCTTCAGTTACATTTGCTCAGGTATAAGCTATGTCTCTTATTGTTTGTTCCTTATAAAGTAAATAAATCAAAACCCCAGTATTTCCTTTCTCATTCTGGTTTTCAGCAGTGTACTAAATGATTAATGACATGAAAATCCTACTGTTAATATCAATAGCTTTATGCATAATGAAAAATATTTCTTCAGATTTTGTTTCTTATGTGATCGATACATTAGTTAAACTATGCAACAATTCAAGGTGCAGATCTATAAATGATACAATTTATCAGGGTCTGTTTTAACGTTACAAAATCACAAGAGGAAAACATTGACATAAAATATTTGTGTTCTTTCAGATATTCGCAACACAATAAAATGTAGCCATAAAGAATAATAAAAATTCAAATCCTCTTCTTTTCTTGTGTGATATTCTTCAGACTTATTTCCTTTCCCTAACATTTTGGGACTTTCCATTTTGTCCCAATGCTTAACCCAATACTTTATGAAATTACATTATCAGCTGAAGTCCCTTCAGATTTCAGATGTTCAAGGTACAGATTTTTGTTTGTTTATTTTCCTTCTATATCCAGAGAAAAGATTGAAACATTCTTTTCTTTCTTTGTGGGCAAGATTTTTTCTGGTTATTGAGGGAGAATGCTGTGATTGAGCATCATTATTTCACGTGGGCATTACATTTGCACAGCCCATTAAAACAGAAGCTCTAGGCCACCAGGGTGTACACTGGGATTTCACCAGCTACGTGTCTCTTGCACCCATGTGGATTACATCTTTCCTGACACTTATGGCCTCCGAAGTTTTCTGATCATTCTTTTTATCTTAGTTTGTAAGATGTGTTAAATACGCAATCCAAAAGCTTAGGTGTTTTTATATCACAAAAGTTTTCCAGTATGTCATGATTTAGTAATCCTCATTGAGATTGCCTATAAAGCATGGTTTTAGTGCTTTTCCACTGACATATTTTCTTATAAATATAAAGTTCTCTACCTAGGCTTCTTGCTACGTAGCACAATTAGAAATACATAAGATGCTTTGGACAGAATATGTTTTCTTTAATTCTTTGAAAAATCTTGGCAACAAATACCTATTGAATAAGTCAGAAATCTAAAAATACATTAGCAATATTCTGGAAGAGGGTGTTATTTAATGCTGATCCACTTGAATAAGGTACTGGTTTTTAAAATCAAAATTCCAAAGCCGGGCACCACAGCTCACGCCGGTAATCCCAGCACTTCGGGAGGCCGAGGCAGGCTAATCACTTGAGGTCAGGAGTTCGAGACAAGCCTGGCCAATGTGGTGAAACCCCATCTCTACTAAAAATACAAAAAATTAGCCACGCGTGGTGGTGTGTGCCTACAGTCCCAGCTACTTGGGAGGCTGAGGCAGGAGAATCATTTGAACCCAGGAGGCAAAGGTTGCAGTGAGCCAAGACTGTGTCACTGGACTTCAGCCTGGGCAACAGAGAAGGACTTTGTTCCCAAAATAAATAAAAAATAAAAAAAAATAAAATGTCATTTTCAGGATTTTATCTATACATGAATTCATATATAAGGATTCAGCACATAAAACAGGAAAAATGCTAAACAAAGATGGGGTACTGTGAGAACTTGCTTGGTCTCTTTATTAAATCACAACATCTTAATCATTTTAGAAATATCTTCCTAGCTTCCATGTGGACAATTAATTGTATTTCCCTGGTCCACTCATTGTGAGGTCAGTGTTGCCTTAGTAAAACTTACTAAGGTAAGTTTTTATATCCAGGTAGCATATCATTATTTTAATGCTCAGGTATGCAATGGCCAATTCAATAGCCTATGTATAATTGTATATTTAAAAAGTCTGTGAAACCTATAAATACATTAGAATGTAGGGCACTCATAGGTATCTTAAACTTATCAATTCCTTGCTGTTTATTTTTACCCTGACCTCCTGATTAATTAAGTAGTCTTTTAATTAATTTCTCCGACTTCAGTTTCTTTATTCTTCTGAGAAATACTTTAAGTACTCCAAAATGAATTACAAATTTGTTACAACTAATATGAAAATTATAATTTAGCAGTATTAGTATAATTATATAATAAATAAGACATTCAGAATAGAAATGAACACAAGGTAATATCATTAATGAACACAATGTAATGGCAATTTAGTCATAAGTTAATTGACATTCTGATTGTGTTCATTATATTAAACTTAAAATTATATATATATAAATACAAACACATATAATGAATGTATATGGAATTGTGAAAGTTATGTGCATCAATGGAATTTAAGCATTTCTATAAAAAGTATCAGGTATAAACAAATAAAATAATTTTATGGCCATATAAGTTAAATTTGTAAAGTTTATTAGAGACAAATGAGATAGGAGTGTGGTCATCTCAACACTTTAACATAGTAACAATTGAAAATTCCCTCTGGGCTTCCTAAGGGTGCGTATCCACTCTCCTGTAAGAACTATCATGGAGCCACAGAGTTCACTGTTGTCACACTTGAAATTCTAGCAGAATGTGATATCTACAATTTAAGACTATATCTAAGATATTGGAGCATCAGAACTAATATAGAAATTAAAGGAAGCTATGAATGAAAGATAAGTTGAGATTTGAGTTAGGGAAAGAACATGGTCCTCAAAATTTGAAGTGTTCATAACAGTGAGCTTTATCAGAGATGTTTAATAAAACTATACATAAAGCTTAATATCCCTGTCACCCGAAGGACCACCAGAATGGCTAAATAGTAGAAAGGAGAGCTTTTCTGGTGATACTGGTTTGCAGGCTGGAAAGAGAAAGTCTCCACCTCTCTCTTTGAAGAGAGGAAAGACAGGTTAGGTTTTATGCCTCACAAAGTTGGTATCACACACATTCAGCAGGTTTGGGACAAAAGCTATGCATATTTATGATGGGAGCTGAGTCCATGCATGGTGGGTAGACATGTATGTAACATACATTTCATGTTCATTTCAAGGCAGGGTCTCAGCATTAAAATGAAGTGGAATTTGACTGTAGGACAAAAGGGAAACTATAGGATACAAAGACTGTGTAGCCCATATAAGCTGGTTGAAACTGGCTTAAGGTCTGCAGTAGCTTATCTGAAGCGAATTTTTGTAAGTCTGGTCCTTTGTCCCATCAGAGTTGTAGTGACTGTGTTGTAAATCAGAGCTGATAGCTCCTATTGTTAGGGAGTTTAGCCATAAGAATTTAGAGATTTGCCAGGCCAGCCAGGCTCTGAACCTTGGACCTGTTGGTACCCTTGTTTCCTTAACCTTTGGGTCTGTCTTAGTTGATAAAGGAGTGTTTATGTTGGTATTTCAGATTACACCCGTTTACTCTGATAAGGTTTATTGGAATTAAGCATGATGTCAATCAAAAATGTATGAGAATTTAAAAATCTTTGGCAGGCAAAAGTACACATACATACACATATAAATATACAAATATAAATACTTGTGAGTGTTTGTGGCTGTTTATGATTTTTGTATGAATCTGTGAAAGTACTATATTTGAATACTAAATCTACATATGCACTGGCATTCTTTTAAACTCATTATCTTAAGTTGGATTCCTTAGGCAACAGAAGCTGAGTTAGGGATTTGAGTGCAGAAAGTTATTGCACAGTATCCTTGGGATCGAAAAACTGTACAAGAGCAATGGAAATAGCATAAGGGGGAAGAAGAGGTAAATATGACATAGGCAGAAGGCAGATCTTCCTATACCCATAAGCCCAAGGGATATCTGGAGGAGAAACAGCAATTAAATGTTTTCTAAAATTGTGTCAAGGGGGCTGGGTCTTTGTAACCACAAATTAACTAGTCATCTGACGAACACCGTCAAAAAAACTTTTCAAAACAAAAGCTGAGTAAATTGTTCACTAGCAATAATACATTGCCAAAAATAATAAATAGCAGTATTTTACAGAAAGAAAATCTAACCCATTGGAAACTTAGATCTACAAAAGAATCAAAGAGGACCATAAAAGACAAATATTTAAGCACAAGGTATAACTTCCCTAGGTTTTTTCTCTTAATATGAAAATTAACTCTTCTGTCTTTTTATATTAATAAGAAAAACAAAACAAAATAGTGGTGAAGTGTTGCAGCGGCAAAAATTTTTGGGGGTGGTATTGAGAGATAATGGGTGATGTTTCTTAGGGCAGTTTTGAAGGGGATTAGGAGCGGTGTGGGAACCTAGAGTGGGAGAGATTAAACTGAAGAAAGATTTTGGAGTAAGGGGTGATATTGTGGGGTTGTTAGAGGGAGCATTTGTTGTATAGAATGATTGGCTCATGCCACTGCCCTCCAGCCTGGGCGGCAGAGTGAGACTCCATCTTAAAAAAAAAAAAAAAAAAAAAAAAAAATGATTGGTGATGGCCTGGTATGAATTGAGATACTAAACGGAAGACACAAGGTTTGAATAAGAGTAGGAGAAAAACAGGTATTAAAGGACTAAGAATTGGGGGGACCCAGGACATTTAATTAGAGAGTGTTTAAGGGGGTATAGTGTGATTATTTGTTTGGTTGGCGAGTTTTGGGTCTTTATTTTTGAGTTTTTTTATGTTATCATATATTAGGTTAGGTTGGTTTAGGTAAAAATATTTTTTAATTAAAAATATAGAGGGTTTTTTTGTTTGTTTGTTTTGTAGTGAGTTAGTTGAGACTTTGGCGATTTTGGAGGAAAGAGAAATGTAAAGCCAGCAATTGTTTGGTAAAGAAGGATTAGAAACAGCTAGGAGAGAGTGAGTGAGATTGATAGTGTGGTGGAGATAGCTGGGGAGAGGTAGAGGGTGGCATAAGAACGAGAATGAGAAGAAGTACAAAAGAATAGGACTTTATTAGGTTGAAAGTATTGGAGTGTATTTTGTTACTGAAGATTTTTTATTTATTTTAAGAGAGACCTAAGGGTGGCAGTTTGAGGTAAAACCAGGAGATATTAGTTATGATGGTTTGGAGGAAAAGTGTAAACCTGCAGTGTAAACAAGAGGAGGGCATTTACAAGCAGTTGAGAATGGTGAATAGGAGTGTGACTAGAAAGAAGATAGTAGGGATGACAAGATTTTGGGGCACAGTAGTAGGGGTGACTGCATAAAGCCCTGTTGCAAAAAGTAGGGTAAGGATGAATAGACCTAATAGAATGAAGGGATGTATTAGGCTTATAACAGTTATTATTGCTTTTTAGAAATGTGAGTGAGTTTAAGGGAAGTAGGGGAGAGTACTTGTGACTTTTAGGAGGAAGAGGAGAGAACAGGCTGGCTGTCCGATGGACACAGTTGTATTTTGGAACCGTGAATCAATGGGGAAGGTCCTGTAGGCAGAAGGCAATTGGAGTATTATAGATGACTAGGTAGGATCTGGTCTATCGAGGTTGTAGAGTTTGAGAGGTTAGATTTGTAACAAGAACTGATTGTTTAGCTAGCGTTTGTTTTTATATGGCTGGGAATCTGGAGTAGGCAAGAAAGAGTAGCAGCCTGGTGAATTTTTTGTTTAGCCTGCTGAAGGACGGGAAGATAGTTGCCTAGAGGGCTGGTGTCTGGGACGAGGTTGGGGCCAAGTAAGAAAGTGAATTATGTCTGACAGAAGGGAAGAAATGACCACAGTGGCCTTCTCAGACCCTGTGGGAAAGGCCTTTATTTATTTAGTGAAAGTGGTTTTTTAGACTAAGAGGTATTTTAGGTTTTTGATTTGGGGCATGTGAGTAAAGTTAATTTGCCAGTTTTGAGCAGGGGCAAATCTTTGAGTTTGATGTGTAGGGAAAGGAGGGAGCCTGAGAAATCCTTGAGGATAGCAGATGGAACACTGAGAAGTGATTTTGTCATGCACGTCCATGTGAAGAGACCACCAACAGGCTTTGTGTGAGCAATAAAGCTTTTTAATTACCTGGGAGCAGGTGGGCTGAGTCCAAACAGAGAGTCAGCAAAGGGAGATAGGGTGGGGCAGTTTTATAGGATTTGGGTGGGTAGTGGAAAATTACAGCCAAAAGGGGTTTTTCTCTTGCAGGCAGGGGTGGGGGTCACAAGGTGTTCAGTAGAGGGAACTTCTGAGCCAGGAGAAGGAATTTCACAAGGTAATGTCATCAGTTAAGGCAGGAACCGGCCATTTTCACTTCTTTTGTGATTCTCCAATTTCTTCAGGCCAACTGGATGTACACATGCAGGCTTGGGCTCAGAGGTCTAACCTGTTCAACTTAAAAAATATGTGTAAAAAGCACTGTGGTGTTTATAACATTTAGAAATAAAATTCAGCGCAACAATAGCTAAAAAAATGAAAATAAAATGAAATAAAAAATATTCATTTTTCCAAATGGAGACTGATAAAGAGGAAATATAGGATCAAAGAAAACATAAGGTAAATGGAAAACAATCATTTAGGTGGCAAGCCAAAGCTCAAGCATATTGTTAATTTTATTAATTCTGATAGGCCCTCCAAATAAAAGGTAGAAGTTTTCAGGCTGGATGAAAATTCGAGATACATTAGTATAACTGTCATGCGTGTCTGTGTAAAGAAACCACCAAACAGGTTTCATGTGAGCAATAAAGCTTTTTAATCACCTAGGTGCAGGCAGGCTGAGTCCAAAAAGAGTCAGCGAAGGGAGATAGTGGTGGGGCCGTTTTATAGGATTTGGGTAGGTAATGGAAAATTACAGTCAAAGGGGGTTGTTCTCTGTGAGTAAAGTTAATTTGCCAGTCCTGGGCAGGGGCAAATCCCTGAGCTTGATGTGTAGGGAAGGGAGGGGGCCTGAGAAATTCCTGAGGAGCAGTAGAATAGTAGATGGAACACTGAGAAGTGATTTTTTCAGGATAGATTTTTACGACGGAAAGGAAAAGAGAGGTTTTAAGAGGTGGGCTAGAGGTGTGTAACTTACATGGAAGAGGTTATAAAATGATGACAGAATAGAATGGGCCTGTGAGGCTGGAAGGAGATATTTTCCTTGGTCCAAGAACCATTTGCCTTGTGTGGGAAGAGATTGATAGGTGGAAGTTTCAGTGGGAGAGTAAGTGGGAGTGACAATGAGAAGGAGAAAAACTGGCCATGAGGGACAGAAGTTGGGACACCAGCTGCTTCTTTAGCTACCTTATCAGCATAAGTGTTGTCCTGAGCAAAGGGATCTGATGCCTTTTCATGGCCATTGCAGTGAATGACCCCAGCTTCCTTTGGAAGTAAAGTGGCATTGAGAAGACTTCTTATTAAAGAGGCATTAATGATGGAGGACCCTTTAGTAAGGAGAAAACCTCTTTCAGCCCATATAACAGCATGGTGGTGTAGGATATGGAAGGCATATTTAGAGTCAGTATAAATATTGGCTTGCAGTCCCTTTGCAAGAGTGAGGTCCTGAACTAAGGCAATGAGTTCGGCTTGCTGAGAGGTAGTGGAGGGGGGAAGAAAGTATATGCATCAGGTATGAGGAAGAAAATAGATTTTGGAAGTCATGAGAACTGTAGAGAGTGAGTGGAGCATAGCTTGTGATTTTGAGGGCCTCTGAAAGTATTAAAGCAGTGGCAGCCACCGCACGCAGACATGAGAGCTATGCTAAAACAGTAAGGTTAAGTTGTTTGGACGGAAAGGCTACAGGGCGCGGTCCTGGCTCCTGTGTAAGAATTCCAGCTGCACAGACCTGCACTTTGGCTGTGTGTAATGAAAAAAGGGTTGGGATGGGTTAGGGAGAGCTAGTGTGAGAGCAGCTTTTAGGGCTGTTTTTCAAGGAATGGAAAGTGGAGCGGGGAAAGGATTTAGGATCTATGGGGTCAGTTAGGTTTTTGTGTGTGTGTGTGAGTTTATATAATGGTTTGTTAGCATGGTAAAACCAGATATTTAAAGGCAAAAGTATTTAACCATGCCCAGGAATGAAAGGAGTTGTTTTGTAGAAGGGGTTGGGGTTTGGGAGATTAGCTGGACATGATCAGCAGGGAGAGCACGTGTGTTTTCATGAAGAATTATGCTGAGATAGGTAATGGATGAGGAAGAAATTTGGGCTTGACTGAAGTAATGGGGGCTGTCTGTGAAGCCTTGCAGCCGTACAGCCCAGGTAAGTTGCTGAGGCTAATGGGTTTCAGGGTCAGTCCAAGTGAAAGCACAGAGAGGCTGGGATGAGGGGTGCAGGGGAATAGTGACAAAAGCATCTTTAAGATCAAGAATGGAATAGTGAGTTGTGGAGGAAGGTATTGAGGACAAAAGAGTGTACAGGTTGGGCACCACAGGGTGGACAGGCAAAACAATTTTGTTGATAAGGCGCAGATCCTGAAATAACCCCTGTAAGACTTGTCTGGTTTTTGGACAGGTAAAATGGGGTAATTGTAAGAATTTATAGGCTTTAAAAGGCCATGCTGTAACAGGCGAGTGATAACAGGCTTTAATCCTTTTAAAGCCTGCTGTGGGATGGGATATTGGTGTTGAGCGGGGTAAGGGTGATTAGGTTTTAATGGGATAGTAATGGGCGTGTGATTGGTTGCCAGGGAGGGAGTAGAGATGTCCCATACCTGTGGATTAAGGTAGGGAGGTACAAGGAGAGGATGCAAAGGAGGCTTTGAACTGGGGAAAAGGGTGGCAATGAGGAGTGGCTGTAGCCCAGGAATAGTCAGGGGAGCAGATAATTTAGTTAAAATGTCTCAGCCTAATAAGAGAACTGGGCAGGTGGGGATAACTAAAAAGGAGTGCATAAAAGAATATTGTCCAAGTTGGCACTAGAGTTGGGGAGTTTTAAGAGGTTTAGAAGCCTGGCTGTCAATACCCACAACAGTTATGGAGGCAAAGGAAACAGGCCCTTGAAAAGAAGGTAATGTGGAGTGGGTAGCCTCCATATTGATTAAAAAGGGGATGGACTTACTCTCCAATATAAGAGTTACCTAAAGCATCTGTGATGGTCCAGGAGGCTTCCGAGTCGATCGGGCAGTGTCAGTCTTCAGCCGCTAAGCCGAGAAGATCTGGGAAGGAGTCAGTCACAGAGCCTTGGGCCAGAGTTCCAGGGGCTCTGGTAGTGGCTGCTGGGCGAGTTGGACAGTCCGATTTCCAGTGGGGTCCCACACAGATGGGACATGGCTTAGGAGGAATCCCAGGCTGTGGGCATTCGTTGACCTAGTGGCCAGATTTCTGGCACTTGAAATAAGATCCTGGGGGAGGAAGTCCTGAAGGAAAGCCTGACCATTGTGGCTTAGGCATTTTGAAGTTCTTGTGTGCCAGAGATGTGGCTGGGGTTTTGTCTCACAGTGCAGGCAAGTAATTGCAACTCTTCTCTATTATTGTACACCTTGAAGGCGAGGTTAATTAAATCCTGTTCTGGGATTTGAGGGCTGGAATTTAATTTTTGGAGCTTTATTTAATGTCAGGAGCGGATTGGGTAATAAAATACATATTGAGACTAAGACAGCCTTCTGATCTTTCAGGGTCTAGGGCTGTAAAGCATCTCAGGGTTGCTGCCAAATGAGCCATGAACTGGACTGGGTTTTTATATTTAATGAAAAATAGCTTAAACACTAACTGATTTGGGAGAGGTCGGATAAAGAAAAAGGAGCATTAACCTTGACTATGCCTTTAGCTCCAGCCACCTCTTTCAGAGGAAATTGTTGGGCAGGTTGGGGAGGGCTAGTTGTGGAACAAAACTGTCAGCCAGACCAGGTGTGAGGAGGGGAGGTGATAGAAGGATTATAGGGTGGGGGAGCAGAGGCTGAGATAGAATTAGAGCCTGATTCAGCCTGGTGGGGAGTGACCTGAGGAGCAGTCTGGGGAGGAGGGGAGAGGTCAGATGAGTCAGTAGAAAAGGAAGATTGAGAAGACTCAGCGATGCTTGAGGTTGGGACTGAGGGGACAGGCAGGAGGGAAAGAAGGAAGATTTGGGACGAGTTGCATGGGAACAGAGACTGGGGAGGGACCAACATGTAAAAGAATGCCTGGACGTCAGGCACCTCAGACCATTTGTCCATTTTACAACAAGAATTACCTAGATCTTGTAGGATGGAGAAATCAAAAGTGCCGTTTTTGGGCTATTTGGAACCATTGTTGAGTTTGTATTGGGGTCAAGTGGTATTGCAGAAGAAAATAAGGCATTTAGGTTTTAGTTCAGGTGTGAGTTGAAGAGGTTTTAAGTTCTTGAGAACATAGGCTAAGGGAGAAGGAGGAACGGAGGGTGGAAGTTTGCCTATAGTGAAGGAGTCAAGCCCAGAGAAAAGACAGGGTGGAGAGAAGGGGTGGGGGGTGCTTGCCCCCAGGAAAGTGGTACTTGCCTCTAAGGGTGAAGGATCAAGGCGGCTGTCCCCATGGTGATCAGACATCTCTGAAATGTGGGTGAATAATCAAGCAGGCGTCCCCACAGTGATTAAACACCAAGGGAAGACTGTCCTCCCAAGTCTGTGACCAATGCCAGAGTTTTGGTTCATGGATAAAACGCGTCTCCTCTGTCTCTACCAGAAAAGGAAAGGAATTGAAATTAAAAGAACGGAGAGATTGAAGGGTGGTGCAGAAATTGAAAGGAGAAATAAGCTGAGGGATAGTGAGAGAGGTTGGAGAAGAGAGTAAAAAGAGGCCACTTACCCAATTTAAAATTGGTGAGATGTTCTTTGGGCTGGTTGGTCTGAGGACCCGAGGTCATAGGTGGATCTTTCTCATGGAGCAAAGAGCAGGAGAACAGGGGATTGATCTCCCAAGGGAGGTCCCCCGATCCGAGTCACGGCACCAAATGTCACACATGTCCGTGTAAAGAAACTTCCAAACAGGCTTTGTGTGAGCAATAAAGCTTTTTAATCAGTTGGGTGCAGGCAGGCTGAGTCCGAAAAGAGAGTCAGCAAAGGGAGATGGGGTGGGGCCGTTTTATAGGATTTGGGTAGGTAATGGAAAATTACAGTCAAAGGGGGTTGTTCTCTGGCGGGCAGTGGTGGGGGTCATAAGGTGCTTAGTGGGGGAGCTTCTGAGCCAGGAGAAGTAATTTCACAAGGTAATGTCATCAGTTAAGGCAGGAACCAGCTATTTTCACTTCTTTTGTGATTCTTCACTTGCTTCAGGCCATCTGGATGTATAAGTGCAGGTCACAGGGGATATGATGGCTTAGCTTGGGCTCAGAGGCCTGACAGTAACTATGTTATAAGGTTAAGAAAAATTTTAAGACATGAGTCTGCATCATACCAAAAAAATCCGATTAAGTGAAAAACTGCAGAGAGATTACAAATAAAAGGATGGATAAGCAAACATCATTCAAACATTCATCATAAGAAAGCTGGAGTGGCTGTTAGTATAAGACAAAGTAAACTTTTATGGAAGTTTTCTAGTGATAAAAGAAATAGATATATTCACAGGAAAGATATAAAAATCCTAAATGCTTTATATTAATTTAAGCAAAATTAGAAGGTAAAAGAAATAGACAATTCCATAAATATTTTTATTTAAACACTCCTGTCTCCTCAATTGACAAGTTGACAGAAAATGAGTAAGCATGTAGAAGTTGAACAACACTTGCAACTGGCTTGACATCATTGAAATTTGTAGAAAATTACTTCAAACAAAAGTAGAATTCACATTTATTCTAAGTGCTGAGGAATACATACTAATTTAAGACTTATAAACTGGACCAAAATGTCTCCATTAATTTGAAAGGTTTGCAATTACACATAGCATGTATTCTAACCACAACACAAGTAAATTAGAAACCAATGAGACAGATATATTCAAGAAATCCTCAAATATAAAAAGTTAAAGCTGGGCGTGGTGGCTCACGCCTGTAATCCCAGCACTTTGGGAGGCCAAGACGGGCGGATCACTAGGTCAGCAGATCGAGCCATCCTGGCTAACACGGTGAAACCCTGTCTCTCCTAAGAAATAAAAAAAAATTAGCCGGGCGTGGTGGTGGACTCCTGTTGTCCCAGCTACTCGGGAGGCTGAGGCAGGAGAATGGTGGGAACCCAGGAGGCGGAGCTTGCAGTGAGCCGAGATCACGCCACTGCACTCCAGCCAGGGTGACAGAGTGAGACTCCATTTCAAAAAAAAAAAAGTTAAACAAAAAGCATATTTACAAAGAACTCAGGGATTAATTAAAAAAAAAGCACAAAGGATAATTTTAAATGTCTTGAACAGAATAATGCCAAATACAAAACACATCAAAATGTGTGCAATGCACCTGAAGCAGGACTTACAAAGAAATCTATACTTTCAATAGTTACGTGAGCAATAAAAAACAGTCAAAAATCAATATTGCAAGTTCTCAACTTCAGAAACAAGAAAAAGAAGAATAAATTGAAATCAAAGTATATGCAATAATTGAAACAATAAAGAGAACAGATATAGAAAACAAAAAAGATAAATTAAGTGTAAAGTTAGTTCTTCAAAAAGGTTAATACAATCAATAAACTTCAGGATGTTCAGAGGAAAAAAAGAAAAATATCACAGTTTACCAGTAATAAGTGTGAAATAAAGGATATGATTAAATGTCCTTTTAAATACTAAAAGAGTACATGGAAATAGCATGAAAAAACTAATACCAGCAAATCCTATAAGCTAAAAGAATACATAAAATGTTTAAAAGCTACTTGATATCAAAATTGGTAAAAAAAAAAAAAAAACCCAGACAATTTCAATAGAGCTATGAACAATTAATTTTATTTATAATTAAAAGAACTCCCACAATGAAAACTCCAAGCCATCAAATATTTTAGAAATAAATAAAATGAATTATACA
Organism: Homo sapiens; assembly: GCF_000001405.40. Classification (NCBI taxonomy): domain Eukaryota; kingdom Metazoa; phylum Chordata; class Mammalia; order Primates; family Hominidae; genus Homo; species Homo sapiens. Next base: position 55,969,912 of record NC_000010.11, on the reverse strand, counting down.
CAAATTATTTTAAATAATACAGAAGAGAGGAATTCTTAACTGATTTTATGAGTTCATTGTTACACTGATACCAGAACTAGACAAAGACATTATGAGATAAAACAAACAAAACTACAAATCGATAACTCTCATGAGCATTGATGCAAGAATCCTCTGGTTTATAGTTTGTGATGAGAAGTTTTAACATTCTTTTCTTTGTTTCTCTGTACATAATGTATCTTTCTTCATAGGCTGCTTTTAAGTTGTTCTGTTTGTATTGGTTTGCAGAAATTTGATTATAAACCCAGCAATATAATATAAAAATATAATGCATATAAACCACATAGAGTTTCTCCCAGGATGCAAAGGAAGTTTAACTTTCAAAAATGTATGCACAGGCAAAGATGAAAGAGAGAGTAGATTCTTCTTGACACATTAAATGACTAAAAAAAGATAAACTATATGAAACAGCAATTTTCTGACATTGGACAGAGGCAGTGGGCTCTGATTACTCAGAGAAAGTTAAAAAAGAAGGCCAGGCCAGGCGCAATGGCTCACGCCTGTAATCCTAGCACTTTGCGAGGCCCAGGCGGGCAGATCACGAGGTCAGGAGACCATCCTGGCCAACATGGTGAAACCCCATCTCTGCTAAAATACAAAAAATTAGCCAGGCGTGGTGGTGCGTGCCTGTAGTCCCGGCTACTGGGAGGCTGAGGCAGGGGAATCGCTTGAACCTGGAAGGCAGAGGTTGCAGCGAGCCGAGATTGCACCACTGCATTCCAGCCTGGCGACAGAGCAAGACTCCGTCTCAAAAAAAAAAAAAAAAAAGTAAAGAAGAAGGCCAGCCCTAAGATTGCATCAGCTTGCTTCCTAGAGTCAGTTTCCAAGCCATGTCAGCAGCAAATGAAACCCACGAGAATTTAGTTGTCTCACTAAGGTGAGGAGACAGATACTGAAATTTGAGACCAAAGCAGATAGAATGGCAGGACAGTATAATAAAACAGTGGAGTTGTGAAAAAGGAATAACTCCAGAGATCTGGAGAGAGATCCACTCAACTCTTTTGACTGAGGACTGATTTCTATATGCATTGGCAGAAACAACCTATTTTTCCTTTACTGCCATCATTATGTTATCATGATGATAACATGATAAAATGAGAAAATTGGAGTTCTCAGTTTAAATCATTTATTTTCTTTTATTATTTGTTTATTTTTTTCACAACAGCTCACCAACACATTCATTGATCATGTACTACATCCAAGGCACTGAGGAGACAAAGAAGAATAAAACACTGTTCCTGCCCTCAAACAGTTTACAGAAAAGTAAATAGGCAAATGTAATCTCTTGTAGTACATGTGCTAGCAGGATTGAGTACCCTCGATCAAATGAAGGAGGCTGTTTATCCTGCCATGGGACCAAGTAGGAAGGAAGTCTTTACAGACAGGCTGATGATAAAGTGTCCTGAAATCCTAATGTGAAGGTGGGGAAAGATTCTTCACATGTCAAACACTGCAGAGCAAAGGCTTGAAAGTGTGAAACTGCATGCATTCTGGGGAGAATGCTAAGTGACGATATTTGGAGCATGAAGAGTGAGATGGAGATTGACAAGGCATGAGAAGAGACAACGGTCAGGTAATATCACTTATAATAATAATAGTAGATCTTAATCAAGTGCTTAGGTGGCGGAGGCCTTGTGTGCCAGACTCCGGAGTCTGGTGATTGCCTTAGTGGAGTCATCCAATAGGAAGTTGTGCTATCAGGTATGCAATGGTGTGGGGGATGGATTAGAGCCTTCAATCCATAGCATTGTACCTTTCTACCCACAAAGTTCATGTCCTTCCTACATGCAAAATACATTCATTTTATTCCAATTGCTCCAAAAGTCTTTTCAAGAAGGTGAAGTAAGAAAGAACAGACAGCAGACTGCTGAAACAATCAAGGGAAAAAGTGACTTAAGGACTGAACCAAGGAAGAGCCAATGGGAAAGTGAATGAATTTTAAAAACATTCAGAATGCCATGTGGACAGAGTGTGGTGACTAGCTAAAGGAGGAGAATGGGGGAGAGAGAGGAGTAAAGTGAGCCTCCAGGTGCCATAGGCTGAAACAAGGATCACAGCAGTGGAAATATTCATGGAACACTGCCAAGCACCTGCTAGGTGGTACAGTATTCCAGTCACTGGGAATATAGAGATAAATAATTCACTTCCCTTGAACATCCTTCAGAGTTATTTAAAGTCAAGCTTAATCTGTATGTGTACAATCATATCCAGCCAAATATGGGTAATCTCATAAATCATATTTTTAAAAAATTGATATAAAAGTAAAACGAGAGAGAGAGAGAGACAAAGGAAATTTTATGTTGTTTTTATTGTGCTCTCCAGGAAGTTAAAATACATGAAATTTATAATTTGATACAATCTTGTTGATGGCAACCCAAGAATATTCAGTTTGACTAGATCACAGACAATATGATTTTTAAACATTTGCATGGAATCTAGACAATTTAGATTATAAAATATAAAGTGTGATTTTTAATATGTCGTCTTAGTCATTTCTGGCTTCTGTAACAAATACCATAGGCTTAAACAAATCTATTGAAAAAACATAATCGGATCTGGCGCAGTGGCTCACGCCTGTAATCCTAGCACTTTAGGAGGCCGAGGGGTGGATTACCTGAGGTCAGGAGTTCAAGACCAGCCTGGCCAACATGGTGAAACCCCGTCTCTACTAAAAATACAAAAATTAGCCAGGTGTGGTGGCACACACCTGTAATCCCAGCTACTCAGGAGGCAGAGGCAGGATAATTGCTTGATTGCTTGAGCACGGGAGATGGAGGTTGCAGTGAGCTGAGATCATGCCACTGCACTCCAGCCTGGCCAACAGAGGGAGGCTCTGTCTCAAAAAAAAAAAAAAGAAGAAGAAAGAAAAACACAAAATCTATTTTTCGCAGTTCCAGAGGCTAGGGAGTTCATAGAATTTCAACCTGTGCAACACACCCTGGTTCATGTTCTTCTCACATGCAAAATATGTTCATTCCACCTCAGTAATCCCAAAAGCTTGCTCCTTCCCACATGAACTAAAGTCCAAACTCTCATCTAAATATTATCTAAATCAGACATGAGCAAGAATCATCCTGCAGCCAAATTCTTCTCCAGATGTGAACCCTTGAAATCCACTCCCCCAAAAAGTTACGTGCTTTCAAAATACAATGGTGTACAGGCATAGGATAGACATTTCCCTTCCAAAAGGAAAAAAAAAAAAATAGAAAGAAAGAGATGACAGACCTTAAGCAAATCCAAAACCTAGCAAGGCAAATTCTATAAAATCTTAAGGCTCGAGAATAATCCTCTTTGGTTTGATGCTCTGCCCTTCAGGCCGAATGGGGTAGCATTGTTACCTGCAAGGCTCAGTGGGACATTGTGCATGATATGGCTGTCGGCTGGGGTCCTGCCCACACAGCTCCACTAGGTAAAAATTGTTCCCCCAGGGTTCAGCTGGCAGCCCTAACTCTAAGGTTTCTGTTGGAGGTTGTTTGTCCTGTTGAAACCTAGGCAGTGGTCCAAAGGTCTGTGACTCACCGTTAGGATCCTTCTCTTTTCTTGAAGGACTGTACACATTCACAGCCTTCCAGTATTTTATCCCATTTTTGCTGTTTCCTCAGTTCCAGCTGGCAATATTTCTGCTGATATAATTCCATCTCTATTCTTGGCTTCTGTTGAAATAGCTAATTTATTCTATGGTTCACACCCACACTAATCTTTCAGTAGGTTAGTTTTCCACACCCTTAGTGTTCTGTTCCAAACATACTATCTCATTTTTTGTAATATGAACATGCCGAAAATTTTATGAATCCTTAAGTTCATTTTTACTTCATATATATATAATATATATATACATATATATATATATCTCCAATTCAATTCTCTCTTTTTGCATGCTATTATAAGCAATCGGAAGAAATCAAACTGTTCTTTCACCACTTTGCTTAGAAATATCTTCACCTAAATTATCCAATTCCATCACTAGCAAATTCTACCTTCCACAAAACACGAGAACGTGAACACAATTCAGCCAAGTTCTTTGCAACTTTATAACGAGGATCTCCTTTACTCCATTGTCAAATAAAGTGTTCCTCACTTCCATCTGAGACCTCATCAGAGTTGCCCTTAATTTCACCAATATTGTGTACACAATTATTTACATATTTTCTAAGAAGACAGAAGCTTTCTTTATAGCTTTTCTCTTTTCTTCTGAGTGCTCACTGGAATAATCTTTAAAAATCCCTTTACAGTAATGTCAGCTTTTTCTAACATGTATCTCAAAACTCTTTCAGTCTCTTCCCATTCATTATACAGTTCCAAAGCCAATTTCATATTTTCAGATATTTGGTATAGGAGCACCCCACTTCTTCATGCCAATTTTAGTCTTAGTCACTTTGGACTGATATAACAGAAGACCATAGGCTAAGAGCTTAAACAACAAATACTTCTCACATGGATATTTGGATGAGACTTTGGACTTTAGAGGTGATGCTGGAATGACTTCAGATTTGGGGGCTAGTAGACGGAATGAATGTATTTTGAGTGTGAGAAGAACATGAATTTTGTGAAGACAGAGGTGGAATGAAACAGACTGACTGTTTATGTCTTCCCAAAATTTATGCGTTAAAACTTTAATCTCCAATATGTTGGTATTTTGAGATGGACTTTTAGGAGAGCGTGAGGGTAGAGCTCTAATGATAGAATTAGCACCTTTACAAAAAGAGTCAGGAATGCTTACTTCCTCTCTCTCTGCATTCCACTCTATGGGGATACAGGGAGAAGACTGTCGTCTTTAAACCAGGAAGCATGGCCTCACCAGACACCACATTGTTGGTACCTTGATCTTGGACTTCTCAGCCCCAAGAATCACAATTCCTTAAGCCACAATTTCTTAATCACAGTGTTTCTTAAGCCACTCAGTTTATGGTAATTTGTTATAACAGCCTAAACTGAGTTGGACATATGCCTGGTTTTTATAAAGAACCCTAATTCTCTTATCATTAGAATTTATAAATATAGAAGCATCCTTAGGGAACATTCTTTAGAAATTCCCACTGATAGTATCTTCTGAAATAGCCGTTAACATTTGTGACAAATTATAAATGTTTCTTAATAAAATGTAGGTGTAATACTATTAAAAAACACAGAAAGATAGTTTTTCCACTTACTAAATCAAAATAGATAAAACTGTAATATGGACATATTATATCTAAAGGATCCAAAATCATTATATAAGTTGGCTAAACTGTTAGATGAACCATATAAGTTGACTAAACTATTAGATGAACCATTCATTCATCTAATATGAACCATAATTGGTTCATCTAATAGTTTAGTCAACTTATATAATGATTTTGGATCCTTTAGAATCAAGATTACTTTTTTACTTCAAAAATCTATTCTATATTTTATTTGTGTTTATATGTCACGCTACAAGATAATTGGCTTAGCTTTAAACTTCACTTTGCCTTTTAGCCAGAGTCTAAATTCTCTTCATGACATTAACTAAATACATTGCTATGAGTTGAATTTTCGCAATGTTATTTTGCTATGTTCATATGGTAAAGGTGATAGATACCACACACACACACACACACACACACACACACACACACACAAGCACACACATACTCCACATGGAACCAGACTTCATTTCCAATAGGTATGAAAAAGAATCCTCTGTAGTCAAATACATTGGAAAATGTTGAGTCATACTAAATTGAAGAAGTTTCTTCACCTCAACACACTTATGGGAGCCTGGAGCACACTCACATTTGCTAAAAAACTTCCAAAATAAAAATATACTTCACCGCATTTTACCTGGCCTTGATTCACTTTCTACTCAAAAGCATCACAATAGGGCGAGATGTTGATAAGGAAGGCTACGGATTGTATTACCAAAGAATGAGAGGTGGCTCATAAATGGATATTAGAAGTTAGAAGGCTATATTATATTCTATTACTAAACAGAACTTCATCTACCTAAAATTTCATCTAAACCAAAATTGTTCATAGCTAAATGGAAATTGAGAAGTGGCAATAATAAGAGAAATGAAAATTACAATATTTATTATTATAAAGCAGTTACAACTGACACATAATATTTCCTTTAATCCCTACATTAAATAGGATAAAATTTACAATCCTCAAATACTTATGTTATTGTTTTACTATGTGTATATGTATGAACATATATACACGCATACATGCATACACACGTATATGAACAAGGTAAAACCATTTGTCAATATAAATTTACTTAAAGCAATCATGTATTAAGTGTAAACTATGCATTACAATTATGAAAAAATATTATTTCTTATCCTCAGATAGTATATAATCTAGAAGATGACATGAACCATATGCACAGAATATTTGAAAAATGAGACAATATGTGACTAGTATCATCAGAGCATGGGTTGCAAAATCAAATGCCTACAGGAGTAACATTTGAGAGTAGCAGAGCAGATGCTTGCTTATTATACATGCACAAAATATTTTTCCTCTCACAAAGAAATATGCTTGCTCCCTTGTTTCAAAACACCTAATACTTTATTTATTTATTTATTTATTGAGATCGAGTCTCATTCTGACATCCAGGCTCACATTGATATTTGGATGAGACTTTGGACTTTAGAGTTGATGCTGGAATGAGTTCAGATTTTGGGGTTAGTCGAATGGAATGAATGTATTTTGACTCACTGCACAATCCCGACTCACTGCAACCTCCCCTTCCCGGATTCAAGAGATTCTCCTGCCCCAGCCTCCTGAGTAGCTGGAGTTGCAGGCACCCACCACCACACCTGGCTAATTTTTGTATTTTTAGTAGAGGTGGGGTTTCACTATGTTGGCCAGGCTGGTCTTGAACTCCTGACCTCAGGAAAATGCCTAATACTTTTGATGTCCTTTTAAATTTCTCATTCCTGATAGAAACAATAAATATATTTATCTACTTCAGTGTAGAAAATGAAGAGCACAGTTTCAATGGTAAATAGCTTCTGATACAGTTGAGAATAATTGGGACTGTAGCAAACTAGAAAGCCCTGATATTTGGGAATTCAATCCTAGTGACTTCGGTTCTTCTAATATTTCAAAAGAAACTGTCAATCAACATTTTAGTATGTATGATGGTTAATACTGAGTGTCAAATTGATTGGATTGAAAAATACAAAGTATTGTTCCTGGGTGTGTCTGTAAGGGTGTTGCCAAAGGAGATTAACATTTGAGTCAGTGGACTGAGAAAGGCAGACCCACCCTCAATCTAGAGGAGCACAATCTAATCAGCTGCCAGACTGGCCAGAATAAAAGCAGGCAGAAGAACGTAAAAGACTAGACTGGCTTATCTTCCCAGCCTACATCTTTCTCCCTTGCTGGATGCTTTTTGTCCTTGAATATTAAACTCCAAGTTCTTCAGCTTTGGGACTCAGACTGGCTTCATTGCTCCTCAGCTTGCAGATGGCCTATTGTGGGACTTTACTTTGTGAGCATGTGAGTCAGTACTCCTTAATAAACTCCCCTTTATATATACATCTAGCCTATAAGTTCTGTCCTTCTAGAGGACACTGACTAATGCAGTATAATAAAATAAATTAGGAAAATTATTTTCAATATTCAGTGGGTAAAATAGATATATATATAAATTAAGAATAGATTTAGTTCTATGTGTCATCTTTTCATTTGATTTCTATTTTCCTCTTTTCCAAGGTTGCATACATTATATTTGTATATATACAAACCTAATGAAATATACAATGTCAGAAGAGAGGAAAATCCTTTCCCTGGTAGTTATTATGCAAGATACATTTCATGGAGGAATGACACTCCTAGAGGACCTTAAAGAGTGGACAGAATTTCAGCTGGGCAGCTTGAGTGGGAGATGAAAGAATGACATTAATATGATGCATGTGACATTTCGTCCCGCAGAAAAAGAATCAGCGAAGTTGTAGAAGCAGAAAAGTAAAAATGCCATTGTTGATGAGGTTGCATTTTGACTGAGGTTAATTTAATATTAAGTATCATAATAACTATAAAATTGAAGTCATTATGTGTCAGTCACAAGTGTGAGCGCTGTGCATGGGCTAACTTACTGTTACTACAACTCTCTATGTTGGACCAGGGACAGATCAAACAAAGACAGAAAGCTGATTTAATTGTATAGGCATATAATAAGGCTTTGAAATAGGTGGTAATGCTGAAAAGTAAAATCAGATAACTATAAAATAATTCAGAGCATTAAAAACCAGCTTTTCTTCAACTTATTTACACAGAACTCCATTGGTTTTGTGAAAGTACTGTGTAAAGTACACACAGGTCAATTAAAATTAACAGAAAAATTTAAATCTTTGGTTTTACAATGAAATCAGACACATGTGGAAACGATGTACTACTCAGACTTTTCAGATCATTTACCCTAGTATTGAAAATCATTATTTTTTTCACTATAAATTATCATTGTCTCTATCTTGTAACTTCATTATACTTGTAGGGAAAATTTTAGTAATTTTCAGGAAAACATATTATTTTTAGTTTTCAAGTTTAACTCTTTCAATTCAGCCTGGTCTTCTCTAACTTCTGTCTGGATATAATATCTAAATTCTTGGGCTAAAGGAATTTAAATACCTCCTTTGCCCTTGTACTATCTGTAAACTACTGTCTGGTGGGAAACCATTGTCCACTGTCATCAGCATTCCCCTTTGTCATCTGATGTAGACTTGATTAATATCTTCAACTAATGCCTTTCTACTCACATCCTTTGTCATGTAACTGTACAATCCCATCTTATGAGAGCTGATTTATCAATACAACAGCAGCATACTTGAAAGAAGCAGAGCCTTGGAAATATGCTTGCCCATTTTTGTTTCTTCCTTGGAATCTACCACCAAAATAAGAACATGACTACTTGAAGAATGTCAGAGACACAAGGATGAGAGCAGGCATTCCAAGTGAGTCATCATAGGCTAGTCTGGCCAGTCTCTAGCCAAATATCCAGCTAATTTCAGATTCATGAACATTGCTAATTAAGGTCAGATAAATATAAACCAGACCCCCATAACCCCCAGCCAACCCACAGATCTGTGAAAATTGATTCCCACCATTGCTTTAATCACTAAAGCATCAAGAATGATTTGTTACATGGCAATAGCTGAGTGATATAGCATCTACTGAGATGTGTGTGCATTTATATTACTTTGGTCATACATACCATCCTGCATTTTTTTGTAACTTTCCCTTTTTAGGACCATAAATCTTTTTGATCATTGATTTTATCCCTTTCAAAAATTCCTGTGTGCTTCAAAGCATCGCAGCAAACTTTAGCTCTTCTTCAGTCACATGCATGGACTTTAAGAGATTCATGGTCTGTCTCAGGTGCACTGTGTTCTGCGGTAACATACCTGACCACAACATCCCTTGTACATCCAAATTTAGGGGGAAGTATGGAGTACCTTACTATTCCATGCCACAACTAAGAAATAGGCACATTCCTCTCTGATCCAAGATTTCCATCAATCTCTCGGTCTTTTCTAACTTTATTCACTTCTGAAATAGGTTCAAGAGGTTTAGAAGTTTTCTCAGCCAACCAAAGAGTATACTATATTCTGTCCTACATTTCTCTATTACCTTTCTTTACCTAGCTTGGTCACATGGATAGAACATGCCAGTTGTTGGCAGTATAAAGTTTATGTCTTAATTCTCTTCAGTTTTTGCTTTTATATACCAAAAGCCAAGTTCTTATAATTCATAAAACCTTTTAGTTTTTCTTTCCAGGGTATTTTCAGTGACACGCAGTTTTTATGCAGGAGGGCATGGAGTGACTAGCTGGGTGGAAAACAGCTAGGATACTTTTATTTATGGTAGTTTCTGTGTTAGAACTATTGCTTTTTCCTAGCAAGCACATTGTTTTCATGTGAAGTACTTGTTTCTATATGGTAGAACATAGTATATAGAAATGGGTGATGATCAAGAACACCCACAAATTATTCCTGAAAGCTACTATAGTTGTTGGCTTTGTCTTTTGTTTAAAAAATAATTTTGAAATTCAAAAGCTGTGTATGAACTTATTGTTTTCTACTGTCATTTATTAAGTAACAAGCAGGCCCTATGACATAAACTTACAATGCCTGGCACTCTGCTCTCAAGAAATATCATGGATAAAAAGGAGATTTTATTCATTCTTACGTTTACACACGTTTATTAGTCTACCTATTTAGAAACTGATGTCATCTTCCTAGCAAATTTTTCATCTTAGAAAACCAGCCAAAATACAGCTAGAAACAAAACAACCAAATCAAAATAAAGTGAATCTATAAAAACAGGTATGGGATTCTAGTGTCTATTGTGAGTGATGTGCAGAATAATCCAGCCTCCATATCATGCCAAAATATGTTTAAAATCAATAAACTAATTTATAAGTTCTAAAGGAGGAAGATTTTTTTTCTTTAACATATTCCATTGCTTCCATTCTATATCTGCTCTAAAAACATAGTTGTCAAAGTATCCAGTTGCTAGAACAAGGCTAATTAATTTTAACAACCCAGAAAATCTGAGACTAACCTTGCTGTTGGGTGTGTCAAAGAAAAATCTACTTTAATTCTTCTTGAGTTATTTTCTTCCAGATGAATGTGTTTCCTTTACAAGTATGAAGTTTAGAACTACAGACAGTTTACATTTGGTTGAAAGACATCTATTAACACGGGGGCTTTTCAAACAGTCAGAAAACAGTAGAGACAAAGGAGATATTTTCCTTTTCTGAATGAGACGTAATTCATCATCACAAACCATCAGAAATGATTTGCTCACAGAAAATCAATGTGGATTCAAGCCATTGCATCCTTAACCTTACATTCACCCTATCTCTTCTAGCAATCAAATACATTCTGGAAGTAGAAAATACACATTAATTAAAACTTAAGAAAATTATACACTGTGGGAGACCTTGGTTCTTTTAACTCAGAAATGGGTTTCATAATGGCAACAGGGACAGTTTTGGAGAGATCATGATGCTCTTTATTGATTTCTAATTTAAAAACAAATAAGAATGAGAGTTGTTATGCCAGTTGAATTGGTTTGAGTTTTCTCCTTATAGCGGGGTAAAAATTTGTGTATTGGCTTTTGCCTAGTTTCTCAGAAAATATCTGAAACATGACTAAGTGATCAAAATTATTATAAAGTAAATTGAAATTTAAATTGTCATTTTTACTATAATTTTCTCCTGTTGATAAGCATACTTTCTGAGATCCTCAGCTTTAATTTTGTTTGAGGACTATAAGCACAGAAAAGTTCAACTGAAAGTGATTTCTAATATTTTGGAAACAATTTTTAAAAGAGTAGACTGCCCTTACAAATTTAACAAAAGCTGTTACTTATGTTTAACTCATTAATCAAATTCTTATAAAATTGCCAAAAAATTGATATGTTTTTATGCAATTTGGAATACACAATACTCTGTGTGTGTGTGTGTGTGTGTGTGTGTGTGTGTGTATGAGCTAAACACATGAATGCATTAATAGGCATTTCACCAAAGAATAAGAATAAGTCTAATGGGCAATAATATCACGTATTGCCTAAGTTTATTAGTCATCAGGAGTAATTGAAGTTAAAACACATACCCACTAGAATGAATAAAATACCAAAGATAAATTTAAAAACTAAGTATTGTGAAGAATATTGAGAAATGGGAACTCATACATTGCTTTGGCAGTCTGAAATAGTGCAATTAACTTCTTGCATTTGGGAAACCAGCAGTACTAGAAAGTCATAGTCAACGATAGGTGATAGCTTAGGTGATAGACAGATAGATAGATAGATAGATAGATAGATAGATAGATAGATAGAGATGATAGATGATAGATAGATGATAGATAGATAGATAGATATAGATGATAGATAGATAGATAGATAGATAGATATAGACAGACAGATAGATAGGTGACAAGCAAGCAGACAATGGCCCAGCAAGTCTACTTTCTTCCTAAAGGAAATGCACATATATGTTCCCCAAACACATGCATGAATGTGAATGCAGAACCACTTGTAAAAGTCAAAACTTAAAACTACATAAGTCCAATCAAGAGAAAATTGATAAATAAATGGTGATGTATTCATGTAAGGAAACATCACAAAGCAATAATAATGAACCAGCTACACCCACATGCTATCATACAGATTAATCTCACAGATCTAACACTGAATGAAAGAACCTAGTCACAACATTTGAAGTTCAGATGATTTGAAAACTACTCTATGGTATTAAAAATCAGGGTGCTGGTTACTAATTTAGGGAAGTAAACTGGATGGCAGCACAACAGAGGCTACTGTAGGAATTGAGAAATGCCCAGTAACTTATCCAAGAGCTGGTGAAGCAGGTGATCATTTTGTATAAATTCATCAAACTGTACAATTATAATTTATTCAGTTTTCTGTATATATGTAATGCATCAATAAAAGGTTAAAAATTCAAGTAGACATCTGGCAACCAAGAAAGCCACCGAAGTCTGTGTGACAAGGAATTATATTTTCAGTATCAGTATCTTCACAAGAACATAAATGAGACAATGAATTAAATCATACTTCAATTAGATTTACTGCAATAATTAAACATTGAATTAATTCAGAAATGTTCAGTTCTCTGTTCTTCATTTTCTCTGCATATGGCATAAAATGCCCAACAATATGGCAGTACACATTTACTGTGACAGGAAAACAGGATGCAAACAACTTGCCCTGTTTTACTTTCTGCTATACAAAACCTTCCCGTGCTCAATATTCATCCCAACTAGACATTTTACCTTAGCTGGTCCTAAACAGGTGACAACCGGTGAATTGTGGAAGGGTAACATATATGCTTGGCTTATTTAAGTGCTAGTGAGCTATGTACTCAGTAAATTAGAGAGTAGTAAGTTGGGTAATGTTGCTTGTGATGGTAATAGATTCATGATTTAATTTGTTTTATGAAATTAATTTTCAAGTCCAGAAGCTGAAAATCCTTAGCCTGTGGGCTAAATCTGATCATAAGCACGCACATGCACACACACGTTCACATGCCTGCACACATGAACATGCATGTATGTACCCAGAGAGAGAGACATGTGAATATGAGTAATGTAAGCTTTAAAAATTGAGTTTGCAATACAATGTTTTTGAAAAGAGTTTTTTTTTTTTTCATTTCAAATCTGTACTTTTGGCTTCTCTAGAAATCCTAGGCTCTCAAGCAATCCAGTCTTAAATTTTTACATGAAAAACATATGTTCGAGATGAGTAAAGGTTACCCCTTTAAAAGAGGAAGATAGTAAATTTCAGATGTTTTCACCACAAAATAATGATAAATATTTGTGGTGATGGATATATTAATTAGCTTGATTTAATTATACTACATTGTATTCATAACATCACTTTGTAGTCCAACTATAACTTGTTGATTTACAATGAAACAGTTTTTAAATAAAGGATCATGTGAATTCCAGTTCAAATATTCTTCTATATTCTTTTATGAACTCCTCCAAACTCTGTCTAGTATCAGTTTAAATGATATTTTTATATTTTGCTATTCTTAGAGTAGAAACTATTTTTCTAATATTTTCAAATATTAAAAGTAAGATAAATAAAATTTAAAGGTTCATGCTTTAAGGAAAATGCATGAGTATGCTGGTTTACGTCAAGTTTTCATTTCAAAGATTTAACATGAAAACAAAAGTACCGTAAGCCTTCTTCACTCAGTTACGATCGGCATGGACCCTGGAGATAACTACATTTGTGATTCTTGTTCTAAGCAAACTTCATATTGTTTCTTCTGCAGTGAAGCTCTTCATACCTTTATGAAGTCATCCTGTACCATGCAAGGTGTGCATATACGTTGTTTTATCTCTGCATTTATCGAGAAAGTAAATACATCTAGGCAAACAATGGGATGGTAAAAGTATCTCCTGTGAAAGAATAAAGAAAAGAGGGGTGCACTGAGCAGCCACAGACGCAGGAAGTAGAAACAGAAATGTACAGACACTTGATCAACTTTGCAGCTTTACCTACATTTGCCTTAATGAAAAGGAGATTATTTTTCTTATTTTCTGTATTTTTTGTTTTCTTGTTTTCTGTTTTCTGTATTGTTCAAAAGGAGTGAAAAAAACTGGTGTGTGCAACTAATGTAAGATAAAAATAAAGTTTGTATTAGTCTATTTAGTAGACATGTCAATCAATCTACTTCCTGTCCACTATTTTTATCTTGGTATTTATTATAAAAAAACATGTTTTTGCAACCGTTTAACTGACATAATTATTACTCAAACAGATTGATGATGCTTGTTTTGGAAACAGAAATATTAGATTTTTGTCCTTTGGAGTTCTTCATCATAAATGTTAATGAAAAATAATCTTAGACTTATACAGGCTGGGAGGTTATTGGACTCTGTCTAATTGTCTTAAGAACCGTTTTTAATCGCATGACATTTTATGAGGTAATGCTATGTTCAGCATAATAAAACAATAGAGCCTAATTTAAAATTGCTTTTTCAGTGGTGTTTAAAAAGAAATATAAGCCAAAGGAAAGACCGCCCCCCCTTTTTTTTTCCTGATGGAACGTTTGAGTTAAATGAATATAAGGCAAATGGGTTAAAATACTGTGTTGTTTGATGGTTGATTATGTCCAATAATGGAGCCTTTGAACTGTTCAGGGCTACTAAGCAAACAGTGAATACACTCAGGTGTCATTTAGTTCTTTTTTTTTTTTTGAGACGGAATCTCGCTCTGTCGCCCAGGCCGGACTGCGGACTGCAGTGGCGCAGTCTCGGCTCACTGCAAGCTCCGCTTCCCGGGTTCACGCCATTCTCCTGCCTCAGCCTCCCGAGTAGCTGGGACACAGGCGCCCGCCACCGCGCCCGGCTAATTTTTTGTATTTTTAGTAGAGACGGGGTTTCACCTTGTTAGCCAGGATGGTCTCGATCTCCTGACCTCATGATCCACCCGCCTCGACCTCCCAAAGTGCTGGGATTACAGGCGTGAGCCACCGCGCCCGGCCTAGTTCTTTATATTACCTATCAATTGTTTTACTGGTGTTATTTTGGGTTCTTTTACAACATCTTATAAAAGATAGGGTCCACAATTTCACTGAACTACAAAGAAGAGTCTTTCCCTCTGTGTACCCCTTTTGACTAGATTCCAGCAAAGGAAAAACACAGAATGTTATTGAGGGTACAATTTAAGATTCAAAATAAATGGTGTTACTTCAACAGAGGGAACAAGGAAAAACCGTGATTTGGGTAAGGATTTTTACCATTCCAGAACTCAAAAACAGTAATTTGATGGCTGTGATTGAAGTGTGGGGGAAAATATGAGACTGACGTGTGCAGTGAATTCAGATTTAAACTCTATCAAAAGTAACACCAGCCCCTCCAAAGGTCATTATATGCTGATTACCTTTGGAGAGATTACACTAAATGAGAACAGAAATCCCATCTGGTACCAGTGCTTATTTGGGACATGTCTCTTGGGTAATATAAGGCTCTGAGCATAAAGCATTTTGTTGATCGAAGTGTTACAGAGAGAGAGCAAACTCAAGATAGGCCAGTTTCTGATTATCCTTGAGAATATACCAATTTTTTTTAAAAGCATGTTTTGTGTATTTTTGAAAACACAGCATAGTGTCAAATGGACATATGCTATAGTTCATTGCCTCAAAGAGTTAAAATATTAGAAAACAATATTTAGATATAAGAGATTAGAACCAGAAAATTTGGATTATAGTCTTAACTCTGCATTTTAATCACATGGTCTTCAATAAATTACCAAATTGTTTTGTTTTCCCATCCGTAAGAAATTCCTGTTAAAATAAATTATGTTTTACAGAGTTGTTAAAATACTTATAACAACGATGGAAATGTTACTTTTTTTTTTTTTTTTTTTTTGAGGCAGAGTCTTGCTCTGTCACCCGGGCTGGAGTGCAGTGGCACAATATCTGCTCACTGCAACCTCCGCCTCCCGGGTTCAAGTGATTCTCCTGCATTAGCCTCCCAAGTAGCTGGGACTGCTGGTGTGCACCACCACATCCAGCTACTTTTTGTATTTTTAGTAGAGACGGGGTTTCACCATATTGGCCAGGCTGGTCTTGAACTCCTGACCTCGTGATCCACCCACCTCGGCCTTCCAAAGTGCTGGGATTACAGGCGTGAGCCACCGTGCCTGGCCTTGGTTTTTAATTTAACATTTAAAAGGCAAAGTTTAGATACTTTCTAAATTCTTACACCCGTAGGAGTCAGTGATTTCTCTCTTCACATGGTGCAATCTGCATATCACCAAAACATAATTTGCAAGTTATAATTATAAACAAAGGAAAGCTGTTCTCCCCAACATTGCCTCCCTTACATTTATTCCGTAAGGCTACTCAGTCCCCATATCCTGATGAAACATGGTAGCCCTTGTGTTTTCATCAGACTTGGGTTATAAAAAACCCTCAGGCAAGTAATTAAAATGTCCAATCCTTCCTAATTTTCTAAGTTGTAAATTTCAGTGAAAGTTGAAATGTCCCCACCCACCTCCCGCCTACCAACCCAGCCTGATTTGTTGTAAATGGAGAAGACTTCACTCAGAGATAGAGTGTAGTCAGTATCTTCCTTTCTCTCCAACTTGCACATCTACTCTTCCTCTTCCAACTTCTTAACTATAATCCCTGAACTCTTGCTGTCTGGAAAGTCAAAAGGGGAAAGTAGAAAGGGACAGGAAGGGCCTCATTTGATAGACATGAATGCAGCTTGGCATCAGTAGATGTTCAAAAATGACATTTTCTGAGGAGCCTAGGGGGTTAATTTTAGTCACAGTCACCCTTTTTACTACAAATGTCTTCTTCACTAAAAGAAGTTCCTTTTAAGCAAATGACCTTAGCTGTCTCTATCTTATCATATGAAACAACATCTTTTTTTCATATGCCTCCTGTAATACACTTACAGCTTCATTTTGCTGAGGACCAATTCCTCTTCCAAGTAGTCTTCTCGGATCTAAAACAATCTCAAATTTGCTCTTTTGGGTATGAGATACACAGATATGCAGCAGAAGACACACAGACATTCTTTCTCCAACAGACTCTGAGATGCAGTAACTTTAAATTATAGCCATTCTTTTACCCCCATGGACAGCTTCAGCTGTATGCTTTCTCTTTAGACTTTCAGGAATAATTCATAGTTCATTCTGCCCTCCAAAATGCAAGGAGTAGATTTAATGCATTCTTAATGATATCATTCAAGCCTCTTTAGGCATAGGGTTTACAGGGTTCTCATAATTAATCTCATAGTTAATCTCAGCATAGTTAATATTTTGGACTTGATGATTCTTTGTTGTGGGAACTGGGGCTGATCCTGTGCATGGTAGAATATTTCACAGTGTACCCACTGTGATGGGGTATGCCAGTAACATACACCTGTCTAAGTCATGATGCTCAAAATGTCTCTAATCATTGCCAAAAGTCCCCTTAAAGTAAAATTGCCCTCAAGAGAACTACTATAAATTAAGTCACCCTATCCTTCACCTGTTTTGGTAACCTCAATGCATAGGGTTTGCCAAATAAAATGTCTTCAAATATAAATCCTTCAATATTGTCTCTTGATTGGTTAAGCCCTATATGTATATAAAAATCATTGGCTAGGTATAGTGGCTCACACCTGTCACCCCAGCACTTTGGGAGGCCAAGGCAGGAAGTTCACTTAAGCCCAGGAGTTTAAGACCAGCCTAGGCAACATGGTGAGACCTTATCTCTAATTTTTTTTTCTTAATCGCCAGGTGTTGTGACTCATGCCTGTAGTCCTACCTACTCGGGAGGCTGAAGCAGGAGGATCACTTGAGCCTAGCAGTTTGTAGCTGCAGTAGGCCAAGATTGCGCCACTGCACTCCAGCCTGGGTGACAGAGGAAGGCTGTCTCAAAAAAAAAAAAATTATCTAGCCTATTTTTTGACATCTGGTTTATGCCAGCCCTAGAGGCAAGATTAATATTAAAAGTATTTACTAAGCAGGAGTCCATGGGTACCACCAACCAGAATGAACTGTTAACAACTGCTATTTGCATATCTGTACATTTGCACTGAATATCATCCCAATTTACATGTGGCTTATCTGGCAAAGCATATTGGTATCTTGTGTTTGTATCATATTGGTATCTGATACATTATTTTAAAGCCTTAGCTGAAACCCACATTTTAATAATTTATTGCACATCTATGTTTCCTAATACTACTGGAAACATGCTCATTATAATGTAAATATTTATATGCAATATATAGAAATATTTTTTCCTGGAAGAAGCAATGGGTTTTGTAGTCAGCGTACAGTGGGGTTTGGCTTCATTTTTCTCTTCTATTTTGGTTATCTTTGCCTTTAGATGGAGATTTAAACTATTTATATATAATAATATGGCTGCTTTGTTATCTGGCACCTACTTGTTTTATTTTCTCCCCATCTATTCTTTTTTCTTTTTTCATCTATCTTTGATTTTAGACAACTTTGTTTAATGACTTTTTTCAGCTTATTAGCTATACTCCTTTATGTCATTTATTTAGTGGCTTCTCTGAGATTTACAAAATATGTCGAACTTATCACAATCTACCTCCAATGGATACTATACCGTTTCACTGTATACAAATATATGCACATGTATATATACACATTCAGATTTTCAGTACTCTAGAAAATATATCTACTTTTATTTATGCCTCAACCTATATATCTATTTGTCTTTTGTAAATACTTATGGAGGAACAAATATAAAAATTGAAGTATACTCTTTATCAGAACTATGTATGCCATATAAATACATTTTAAAGTACTAAAAATATGTCAATGTAGACTTATTTCCTAAGCAAAATCTTATTTTAAGATCAAATTTAAAATAAGGATGTTTTTATCAGGTGAATAAAACTTAGGAGAATTTATTGCAATACAAATCAAAGCTAAGATAATTTTTCAGAACAAAAGTCAAGAAATTTTACCAGAAAACATGTCAGAGGAAATAATTTTGGAGGAAATAAAATGGTACCAGATGGAAATTTGCATCAACACAAAAGAATAGAGAGCACAAAAAATAGGTTAAATACAAACCATTTTTCCATTTTTCTATAAAGTCTTAAAATAAAATTTTCTGCTTTAAAGCAAAAATAATAAAAAATTATATGAGTTGTAGCATATCTAGCAGTAAAATTTATGGTAATAACAGAGAGACAAATTCAGGGGAGTGGAAGTATACTGTCGAAGTTACCTGTATTAAGTTGTAGTTTTGTAATGTGTCAACTCAGTCTGCGATGAATTTCTCAGAATTGTCTCTCCTACATGCTTCTGGTTAGCATGAGCCTCAGATGAAATTTTAGTGGGAGATTTGGAGGGTGGAAGTAAAGACTCAGCCATATTGTATTGTTGTTTATCCACATTTTGTTGTTTATCAACGGATTCACCTATTAGGGTGAGGCAATGTCCATATCTACAAATATTCTACCTTCTCCTTGATCCTTCTTCAGCTTTTCTGCCTCTTGGAGAAGTGAGAGTGCACTTAGCCTAATTTATTAGGTGCCAGCGTCTGCAGGGCACCAGCAAGTCTAAGGATGTGAATAGAACTGAAGCATGTTTCAGCCCATCCATGTGAGCTTCAGCTTGAGTTTACGGATTCCATTCTGTAGTTTTCTCTTCCAATTTATCTTCTCTTCCTTACTGGTCTGTCTTACTAACTTCAAGCTCCAACATCAGTCCTGGTAGCATTAACTTTACCTTATGGAGACTGTGTAACCAGTTTACACAATTGCCTAAGGTGAAATCCCTTCATACACACAGAAACACAGTACACACAGGGATTTTTATACACACATACACATATACATATGTGTATATTTATACATGAATATATGCATAAGTACACATATGTCCATATACCTAAAAAGTATCGTTGTATATACATACGAAAATAATTAAAAATCGGTTGTGGTACTAACTACCATTTTAATTTTTTAATTTGACATTTTTCTTTTATTTGTCTTCATCTAGATTTTACTGTCTTTATTTCCCATATTGTTACCAATGCTGTGGGGAACATACTTGCAAATTTAGCCACACAATTCTCATTTTTTATTGCTTCCTCTGAAACACTGGCTAGAGTTACTTTTATTTCATATTACTTACTGTCCAGTTAGTAGTTTTCCCTCCTTTAGTCAGTTGCTAACTTAAATGCAATCAAATGTAAGACATGGACAATGATGGCTAATAACAGCTTCATTTTCAATAATAAGCTGTAAGACACTGGCAAATGTGTTACTATGATATAAAATGAATGAGTACCAGGTTTAAATAACGTACACATTATACTCAGGTTTTAAGCAGTTGGTTACTCATTATATCACTATATTACAACAACAATCTAGTAATTTAGATTTTAGAGGATATAGCTATTATCATCCCTGACACACATGAGAAGACTGAGGCAGAGAAGGTAAAAGAATGTTCCAAGATCACTCAAATACTGAAAAGCATGAAACTAGAGCAAAATTCTCTTGATGTTCAGTTTAACTTCTTTTATCTCAGACCAGTTTCCATGCAGATTGAACATTACTATACTAACGTAAGCCTTAATTTTGGGTGAAGATGCCTGCTTTTTAAGGTGATTATTTCTGAAATTATATTCATGATCAAGTAATGATTAAGAATGCTTCTTTCTGCACATTTGAAATCACCAATGATACACTCAAAATAGAGATTGAGATAGTTGTTTGTGTCTGAGAGATAAAGCTATTTTCACCTTTTGCCTTTGCAATGTTCTATTCTACTTGATGCTTGCTAGTGCCTTAAGCTTGCTTTCCACTTTCTTCTTTGAAACCTAAAATGAAATACATTTTATTGTATAAATTTGATAATTCTATTTCCATATTATCCCTACAAGGGAACTTAGTGTTGTTATTGTTATTGTTTTAATTACTAACAACCAATTTTATAGAATTATTTAGTTCTTGTTTAATATTTGGTTAGGCTTAAGAAATTAAATTTTCTTTTGACTTAAAATTTCTACTGTTTTCATTTCTATGTTGTATTTTTAATCACTGTTCAATTTGTTAACAAAGTAAGGAGTCAAGGATTTCTATGAATGGTAAAATGTAAAATGGTGGATATAGGAATAATCAGATATATGGATGCATGAGTCATTCTTTCTTTTTTTTTTTTTTTTTTTTTTTTTTTTGAGACAGCGTCTCACTCTGTTGCCCAGGCTGGAGTGCAATGGCACGATCTCAGCTCACTGCAACTTCTGCCTCCGAAGTTCAAGCAATTCTCCTGCCTCAGCTTCCTGATTAGCTGGGATTACAGGCACCTGCCACCACGCCCAGCTAATTTTTGTATTTTTAATAGAGACAGGGTTTCACCATGCTGGCCAGGCTGGTTTCGAACTCCTGACTTCAGGCAATCCACCCGCCTCAGCCTCCCAAAGTGCTGGGATTACAGGTGTGAGCCACTGGCCCCGGCCGAGTCATTCTTATCTGAGCCTAAAAACTAGTTAAAATTGTTGTTTATGATAGTTTTAATTCTAAATATCAGGATCAGGAAAAAGATGCACCTGTAGTGTATCAAATAAAATATCTTTTCAGATTATTTATAGATAATCATCTTGAGCTCTATTGTTCAGACCCCAGCTTTATTACACCAACTCTTTTTGTTCACTTCCTCATATAAAATTCCCTATCAATAGGTATTACAGGAATAGAATTTGTATTAACCAGTCAGCCGTTACAATCTCACTAAATTGGATTATCTAGAGCATTTACTTAATAATAAACACCCATGCATATCTCTTACTGTGGATTAGGAAAAATGCTAGTGCAATGATTTTTATACCTAACAAAGGGCTTTTAAAACATTTTACAAATACTAATCCTTGTAATACCTCAACAGATAAGGATTGTAAACAATACTTTACTGAAAGAGACTAAAAGATGATACGTGGGTTTTTCAAGTTGTCAGCACATACAACTAACACTGCAAATGTCAGGCAATTATTTTTAAAAACTTCTATTTAAAAAGAGCAAAATAAATCAATTGTCTAAATGTACACCTTAGAGTTTTCTTTTTGATTTTCATTATTTTGTTTATTCATTTTGACAAAATTTATTCATCTTCACAAACTTATGAGGTCTTTCTTCTGTTCACTTAGCAGGTAGGTAAATCAAGGGTAGGAGATGTTAAATATCTTCCTTATGGTCCTTGTTAGTAAATATCATACCGAAGATTCAAAGTCCGGTCTTTGGTGGGGCAATAGCTCATGCCTGTAATCCCAGCATTTTGAGAGTCCAAGGTGGAGGACTGCTTGAGCCCAAGAGTTTGAGATCAGCCTAGACAACATAGATAAATCTCATCTATACAAATAATAATAATAAAAACTAGCCAGGCATGGTAGCCCATGCAATACAGTCCCAGATACTCAGGAGGCTAAGGTGGGAGGATCACTTAAGCCCAGAAGGTGGAGGCTGCAGTGAGCCACCATAATGATTATGCCACTGCATTCCAGCCTGGGTGACAGAGTGACAACATGTCTCGAAACAAACAAACAAAATTAAAAACCCACAAAGGTCTCCACATTTCAGCATTTTTACTTTTCTACTTTATCATTCTGCCGTTTGAGGAGCAGTTTAGTAGGCACAAGTATAAGCTCAAAACACTTAGATTTTGTAATTTTTTAAATTGTATTGTCTTGTTTCTAGCTTTACATTCAAGGCACACTTCCTCTATCCTTAATCTTGTTAGTGTAAATAAATAAGTATAAAGCTTCATAATTCCAAATTTAGAAGCCAAAACTTTCTTCACACTCTTATTATAGAAAAACCATAATTTAAAGCAAAAATTGGTGCACTAACACAACATTTGTCCATGTTTTCTTACAAACTCATTAACAGAGTGCTAGACAGTCAAAAAGACTCTCAATGACAGTCTTTATATCACAATACTGATAGTAAAAATGTATTACTTGTATAAATTTAAAGAGCCTCAGTGGTAGAAAATAATAATTGTTCTGGCATATGAGAAGATGAGAAGTAGGAGTTAAATGTAAAATTGAAAGAATACTCTGTATAAATAATATCTAGAAAGCCTGAAATCACAATAGTCCAGGATCATTCAAATAAGAAACTTATTCACATCAGTAGGATGTATAGTCTTAATTTTATTACAGCACACCCTAATAATGAAAATTCTTAATGATAATCTGCATTTAAATGAATTGTGAAAAAACATTGTTAGCAGTTTTAAAATGACACTTATTTAGAGTAATTTATACCCTGAACAGTCTGGATATTCACAGGAGGTTTGATGTGTCTAAATGATATGATATGTATGTTAGAAATTTAATAAATAGTTAATAATTAAATACATATCTATATATTCAAACTAGACTATTTTAATTTTACACTTAACGTTAAAACAAAATATATTTGAAATATATAATTGTAATAAACTTAAGATATATTTTTCTTATAGAAATGTTACTTTTAAAATTGACTTGTATGTTGAATACATCATTTATTCCTAAAAAATAAACATTTTAATAATGCTAGTGTTTATTCAATAGTCCAGGTTAATTGAATTTTCTGATTACCTTAGTTAAACAGAAAATTTTTATTTGTTTTGTTGAAAACTTAATTCAAAGGTGCCATTTAATGCTACTAAGGCTAATTTAAAGTTTTATTGATTATGAAAGAGTGCACCTTCTTAAAAGTATCAATTATCATTGACTATTTCTTCACCTGAAGAAGTAGAAATAGTAGTTTGAAATTAATATTCATACTCTCAAACACCTTCTGTAGACTAAGGGTCATGAATTCAAGGCAGTAAAGATGAACAGAAAATAGTCTCAATGTTGGAGGAAAAGGGAGCATGGGATCCATGGAGCATGGCCCATCTAAAACAGCAGCATCTCAGCTCAAGTTGACTGTCATCATGTTGAATGTGTTGACAAGGCCAGGTGCAGTGGCTCACACTTGTAATCCCAAAACTGGGAGGCCAACGTGAGAGGATGGCTTGAGCCCAACAGTTTGAAATCAGCCTAGGTAACTAGGCAAGACCTCATGTCTATAGAAAAATAAAAATTAAAAATGAGCCAGTGTGGTGGCACATGCCTGTGGTCCCAGCTACTCAGAAGGCAGAGATGAAATGATTATTTGAGCTCAGGAGGTGAAGGCTGCAGTGAGCTGTGATGATTGAGGCCACTGCACTCTAGCCTGGGCAACACAGCAACACACCGTGTCTCAAAAAAAAAAAAAAAAAGAAAGAAAGAAAAAAAAGAAATATGCTCACAAAACTTTTAATGTTTATCAGGAAAGAATAGAATTCTTGCAATAGACAGATAGATAAATATTTATGTGATATATTCCATTTTTAAACACACTGTGATTCAAAAACAGTGTAAGCTGAACAAAACCTGTGTGCTAGTATTGATACAATAATAAAAGCAGGAGGCAGAGATATTCAAGGCAGAAAATGGTGAGTCCCTGGCAAAACCCCACCTTCAAGACAAAAATCCTGAAACCTGCAGGCCAAAGTAAGAATTTCTATCACTGTTTTCCTTCTTGAATGTTGCCTTTTCCTAAACTACCAATGGCCTACCCTGCCCTATCCTGTGCCTATAAAAACCCCAGACTCAGCCAGCAGAGAGGGGAAGCAGCTGGACAAGAGGAAGAAGTGGCTGCATGTCAGGAAGAAACAACTTGTCTTCAGAAGAGAGAGGCAGAGAGGCAGCTTGACTTCAGGGGAGAGTGGCTTTCCTTTCCATCCCCTTTCCAGCTCTCCACTCTCTACTGAGGGTCACTTTCATCACTCAATAAAATTTTCCACATTTACCATCCTTCAATTTGTCCACGTGACCTCATTCCTCTCAGACAAGAATTCGGGACACACCAGGTGCAAGCACAATATCCTCCTTCAGTATGATATGGTTTATAACCCATTATCTTGAAAATTCTCTGCTAGAATGTAAAAACAACAGATGTATGCCTCAACCAACTTTATTGTGATTTTCCTTTTCTGATGATTTATTCCAAATTGTTCTATGTTGAGGAATAAGTAACAAAGTTTTACTGTAAAAATTAAATAAGCTATATTAAAATAAGATCTGGTCACACATTTGTATAGAACATTCCCTGGATATGGACGCAATTCTCATGATTTTTTGGATACTTTTCTATTTAAACATTTATTTCATGGTAGGCTCTAAGTACACTGTTGTACTGACTCATAACCTGTATCACTTATACTTTCTTCTTTCAGAATTACTGAAGTCTCCCTTTATCTGCAGGGGATACATTTAAAGAGTGTCAGGGAATGCTTAAAACTATGAGTAACACCAAACCTTATATACTATGTTCTTTCCAATGTATATATACACACGTAATAAAGTTTAATTTATAAATTCAGCATAATAAAAAATAAAAAACGATAATAATAAAATAATTATAAAAATATACTGTAATAAAAATTATGTGAATGTGGTCTCTAAAAATATCTTATTGTACTTTATTGCAGATGACTGAAATCACAAGAAGCAAAACTGTGGATGAGAGCAAGTACATTAATATATTTTGTCAGTATCATATGAGTCTCATGATTTTCCCACAGAGTGTCTTCCTTTTTCTTGGTAATATTTTTGGAAAAAAGAAAAAAAAAACAGAGAACAGAATTGTGAAAATAACCTAATTAAGTAAACCATGGACCTACAAAGTTTATACGCCTTGGTAGATTCTCATAGATGATAGAGTTTACAGTTTGCTATTAATTTTGAAGATAATCAAATTCTTACAAAGCAAACAAATTTATCCAGGTCAATAATGGAGAGCTATAAGAAAAATAATAAGAAATTTTTGTATTTTTTAAAATATGGTACCATGTAGGTTTATACACATAGTAATGTAAAAAACAATATATTAATTTTGGCATAAAGACCAAATATAAATAACATAATTTTTAGGCCTGAAAGTATACATACATTTGAACACTGTGCTGAGTTGCTGTAGTCAGTAAGGTGGAGAGGTGTGGGGAAGATTTTCAGTTTGCAGAAATAAAATTACCCAAAGTTTACATAGTTTATATTACAAAATAATGTAAGCTAAGAGAAAAAAAAGAACCTAGTCAAGTAGGGTTAAGGCATTAACCCATACAAGAGTCTGGGAAGGAGTTGTGCAATTGATAAAAGATACGATCTTGAGTCAAGAACACGTTTTACAAATAGAGATTGTATTGACTTGTACCATCAAGAACTTTTTGAGAATCACACAGGGTATTTTCACTTTATTTATTTATTTATTTATTTATTTATTTATTTATTTATTTATTTATTTTTATAAACCAGATAAGTAAACTATGTATTTTCATGGATTAGACTTGCCACATTGACTTGGACCTTGTAGCATCTAATTATTCAAGGCATTCAGTTGCAGGTATAATGTGGGAAAGACTGCGAATAGTGGGAATGAATAAATTCAGACTCCTCTTCCTCTGTTCAAAGGAAATTGAAACACTAACAGTCAAGTGGATTAGGGATTTGGGGAGCAGCCTCCCCCTCACCGACACAAGGTGTCCTCTTTGATTCATATTTTAACATTTCTCAGGATATACATGAAATAGCTAATTTTAACTATAAGTAAGTTATTTCCTAGTTAATAAAAATGCATTTGCTGAGTTTTTATTTTTTTGGTCTTCTTTACACTCTTATTCTAAGTAACCATTAAGAAAAACACTACTGGTATAGAAATACAGGCATATAACATGCAGAGGTAGAGGCAGAAAGAATATATCATTGGTATTGCTTAGTACCAGCAACCATTAACTAAGTAGAATAAAAGAGCACACCAACTACAGCATTTCACTTACTTTCTGCTCTTTTTTTCTATTTTAACTTACATTAACTTGTTCGAGATTTTAACTTAAAAACTTTTCTGAGGCTTGAGTTTATGTGAATTTAGTTTTACTAAACTTTTTGGAGGAGGCTATCTTCAGAATAGCTTCTTCTACCTCACATACTTCCTCTTCTGTGGTTTTCTCCTGGCTCTGATGTCCTGCCTGCCCCACTCCCTACCCACACTCTTTTGATCTTTACCTCCATTCTCCCCATTATGCTCAATTTGTGTACCACTCTCTTTGTTTTTCCTCCGTGTAGTGTGGACCTTATCTCATAAAGGTCTTTGAGTGGAAGGCTTTGTCAATTTTGGCTTTAATAAAATAAATAATTCAAAAAATAAAAAACAAAAAATCCCCCACAAAGATTGGCCAACCTACATTAATAACCATGAAATTAGAATAAGTCGGCCGGGCGCGGTGGCTCACGCCTGTAATCCCAGCACTTTGGGAGGCCGAGGCGGGCGGATCACGAGGTCAGGAGATCGAGACCATCCCGGCTAAAACGGTGAAACCCCGTCTCTACTAAAAATACAAAAAATTAGCCGGGCGTAGTGGCGGGCGCCTGTAGTCCCAGCTACTTGGGAGGCTGAGGCGGGAGAATGGCGTGAACCCGGGAGGCGGAGCTTGCAGTGAGCCGAGATCCCGCCACTGCACTCCAGCCTGGGCGACAGAGCGAGACTCCGTCTCAAAAAAAAAAAAAAAAAAAAAAAAAAAAAAAAAAAAAAACCATGAAATTAGAATAAGTCAAGGATCAGTTTGCTCAGACCCTACGCCCATACTGTCAGTCTTTTCTGACTAAGGCATTTTTAGATAACAAAAATAGTAAGGACATGTAGAACAAATCATTTTACACATTCATGAATTATCAGTCATTTGTTAAACTAATGGACAGCTACTAAATTTGAAAACTACAAACTATAGCAGACCACTACTTTTAAATTCAAATATTTCTTGCATTAAAAAGAAAGAAAAATCTATTGAATTAGAAAAAAAATGTTAGATTGAGGTTCTTCTTTTGTAATTGAATAATTTTAATTAGATAATGTTTCTAAGTAAAAACTTTAAGTGTGTTTGCTGATTTGGTATTACTTTAAAAGTACAGAAGGAAAAGTACAGAAGGAAAAGGTGGGTGTATTGACAATTAAATTTAAGAATGTTATCAAATGCTCATTCTTGGTGAAATTTAGGTTTATACTTTGTGGCTAACTATAATAAATTCTCTCTTACTCCTAGTACTGAATATTTGTGTCCTACGGCCTATACAAATTCATCTGCTGAAACTTAATCCCCATGATATTTGAAGTTGAATTATTTGACTACTTACATAATTTATTAAAGTGTTATGTGAATGAAAAATGTAATTGACAAATGATGGCTTTTGTTTCCTTAAAAATCTAAGTTCAATTAATTAAGTGGAGTTCAAATATTAAATTGTTCAGCCCCGAAAAAAAATTAAAAGCTGCTGTTAAATCTGATATAGATGAGATTACTGTAAAATATTTAGGGGGAAAAGTAAAATTTAAAACTATTTGTCATTAAAATTCCTTTGCAAAGGTCTTTAAGTTAAAGAAAACTTAAATAGAACCAGAAACTACAGATGATGTATTGTAGTTACGGCAAAGCATCATGTGGAACTTCTAAGAACTTTTACTGAAAGAGAAGTCTCCACTATACATCAATAATTGGAAAATATAGTTTAAAGTCAACATATTTAAATGTATAATTTAAACTTTATATTGTATTTATTAATTTACTATAGTAAAACCACATAGAATAAAATTTACCATGGTTAAATCAAGCTTAGCCTAAAGCTGCCTCCTTGCATATTTTAAGTTCAGCCTAAAGGTTTCTCTGTACATCATGAACTGTAAGCTAGGGTCATAAACACACTGTAGCCTACTCTTGTGACAATAGAGTTTTTGCCAATCAAACATGGCCAACTGTTGAAACCGTGTTTAAACAACGCAAACACCTGGCCACAACCAATCTGGCTGTTTCTGTACCTCAGTTCCATGTATGTCACTTGTCTATTTCTGTCCATAAATCTTCTGCCACCTAGATGTGCTGGAGTCTCTGAGCCAGCTCTGGCTTGGGAGGCTGCCCGATTTACAAATTGTTTTTTGCTCAATTAAAGTCTTTTAAATTTAATTCAGCTAAGGTTTTGCTTTTAACACCATCTTAACATTTCTGAGAATATAACTTAATGTCCTTTTCACAATTAACATTAAAATTATAGATCTTGATCCAGTCACACAAGAGAGCTTCTCTGGGAAATAAATGTCTCTCTCTCTCTCTCTCTCTCTCTCTCTCTCTCTCTCTCTCTCTCTCTCTCTATATATATATATATATATATATATATATATATATATATAATTTAGCAAAGATTACATGTTGGCTAAGTACCAAATCTTCACAATTCACTTGATCCTTTTGTTGATGGCAGGATATATAAATTTTGTAGAGCAGTTGAAAGTGAACTGAATTTCTAATAAGTTTTTAGCACTTTGATATCTTTATCACTCTGGAAGCATTAACAGAACAGGGCTCTTTATATGGCGTCTTTTCCTAGGTCACCTTCAAACAAAGTTGCTCTTCCGAGCACTGAAGCAAAGCATGTCCTGGCTCAAAAGGCCCTCATTTAAAACCACAGCTACAGTCCGGTCTCATGAAGATGCTCGGCTGCTTGAGCGACCTTTCTTTATATTTCATAAGTTCATCTTTGCCTCAAAGACTGGTGAGTCTTAGTGAAGGAAAGCCATGTGTTATTTTGTTTTGATATTGAAACACTTAAAATTTTTTTCTTTTATTTTCACTTTTAATGTGTTTACTTACACAGCCTAATGTATTTCATGATTCCTTATACTAACAATAGCCTCATATGGTTGAGGTCACTCCTTCACTGCATGCACCGACTTCCTGCTCTCAGAAAATAAAAGCAGCTTTTTAAATTCTCATCATGCATTGCAGCCACTTTTGTAAAACTGATCTAACAAAAGACTACAACCCTTTCACATATTTTCATTCTATTAATTAATGTTGAGCTAAAAAAAATGAGCACTACTTTTTTTCAAATATTTTGCCTTTCTAAGCAAATAAAAAATAATGAAACATTTCCTCATTTCTTTATTTATGTTTCTTATTCTTTAGGGGCTATCTTATAAGATAATCCCATTGTTAGTATTGTTTCCTTCCCCTTGGTCCAACTTTTAATATTATAGTTCAATTTTGCAGTCTTCTGTTGTGTTGTTTTATTTTATTACTAGCTAAATTCTATGAGGACTGTTACACCTTTAAGTGCCACATATTTGGATTAAGATTCAAGTTATTTATTAAATAAATAAATCTTATAAAACCTAAGAATCGTAATGTACCTAAATGTCTAATCTAAATGTTTACTGTTAAATGTTGTCATAGAACCTGAGAATTCACCAGGAAAATTTTACTGATATCCACAAACATATATCATCTCTATCATTAGTTGCACATCCAGTGAAAATGATAAAATATCTACCTCAATATAAATTAATATATAAATAAAGAGAAATTGGCAATTCATTAGAGTATGTTGGGAAAGAAATAAAGTATCCCTATGCCCTATAGTAAATCACTGTGATGATTTTTTTCAACATATTTTAAAAGTCCTAAGTACCAAAATTACAACAAAGTTTAATGGAATTGTATCTCATTTACTCAGGAAATTTATAAGAAAATATGCAATTGAATCAGAATTGCTCGGGTATTGAAACAGAAATTGCCTATCAGTGGCTTTCTGGTAATGAATGCTTTATTTTTATGTTATATTCTGTCAGATATGTAGCCAAAAAATAGTTTTTATTACATAAATTAATATATATAACTATCATATTCCACAATACAATTATCTCACATATTTGTAAAAGTGGAAATGACTGCAATGAATGAAATGACTGAATTATTACAAGTTTCAGTTTCTTGAAAGTACTCTGTAGATTGGTCCAATTCCAGCTTTCTACTAGATTGGTCCAGTTCCAGCTTTCTACTATTTTCCCAAGTTTATTAAAGAAAAATATACAGTTAGTGCCAATATTGGATAAAGAACTATAATAATACTATAGAGTGTGTGGAAGAGTGAAAAGATTGATGAGTTGAACATAACCCTGGCCTCTAGATCTGGAATAGAGATACAAGATGTCTGAAATATGTAAAATTTATTAAATAATTTAATCATTCAGGTTTCTCATTGGTGAAATTAAAGCTTGAAGTGGCTCTTCTCCAAAGATCCTTTTACAATTTTACTTGCTGGCAAATATTCTCAAACAAATGTCTTCAGGAAAAATTGCCAGCTTAAGAGATTCCTGACACTTCTAAAGCCATTTCAAAGCAGTAAGTATCAATTTCCAAATCCTTCCAAGAAAAGAAATTACCCTATATGTTGTCCTCCAATTAACTAACCCTACATTACAAAGTAAAGAAAAAGTAAGCACCATCATAAAAAAAAAAACCTAGATATGTGGATGTTTAGTAACATCTCTAACTAGGGAGCTCAGCCAGAAGTTCAAGTACTTGATGCTACAAAAAGGGAAATTAATATTAGTTGCAGCTGCCGTATAATAGCAAGGGGATCTCATATCATATATGGTTTTGTGCATTTTATTTTATTACTGCTATGAAATCAATGAGCAATATTTTTATTTTAATTTGGATTTAAAAATTTGTTGTTTTATAAAATTTCTCCGAAGTCTATACCACCAATATAGATGCACTTGACAAAGACTAAATTGCTTTTAACACTGGTGAGAAACCAGTCTACCATTTTACAATGTTTGTCCTTTTGAAACAATGCTTTATGAGATATTAAATATATATTAATATATTTATGGAAGAATCAGAATTGCTACATGTTAGTAGTTTTCATAGAATTCATAAAATTAAATGTAGAATTTGTAATCATATCTAATAATTTTATTTTACATTTTAGCCAGATTTCTTCTCAGTGTCACATGAAACTACTATGAAAATAGAAAGTCTTACTATCTGGTTGGATTACTGCAGCATGTGTGTTATCACAGAAAACCTGTGTTTGTTTGTTTTGTTTGTTTTGTTTTGTTTTGTTTTGTTTTGTTTTTTGAGACGGAGTCTCGCTGTGTCGCCCAGGCTGGAGTGTGACGGAGTGATCTCGGCTCACCGCAACCTCCGCCTCCTGTGTTCAAGTGATTCTCCTGCCTCAGTTTCTCAAGTAGCTGGGATTACAGGCATCTGCCACCATGCCCAGCTAAATTTTTTTGTATTTTTAGTAGAGACGGGATTTCACCATGTTAGCCAGTCCTGGTCTCCATCTCCTGACCTCATGATCCGCCTGCCTTGGCTCCCAAAGTGCTGGGATTACAGGCGTGAGCCACCACGCCTGGCCAGAAAACCTGTATTTTTAAATACAACTTAAAATTGCAAATTTTATTTGCATAATTTTTGTGGTATATTTTTGTATATATACAAATTCTACAGTTGTGTATTTTTTAAATTATGCTTTCATGTGCAATTATTTTATTCATAGTAAATATCAAGATATTTTATATATTTATTAGCCATTCTCCCATTTAATTGCCTGCTTTATGTTCTACAACTATACTTTATTGGACTTTTTTAGGTTATTATCCTTTATGAGCTCTTCTATATGTAACGTATAATTTCCCCTTGTCCGATACATGTAACACGAACATGGTTTCAGAACTTGAATTGTTTTCAGTACCAAAGTTAAAATAAACAGGAGTCAGACATGCCTGTCTCTTTCTTTATGGCATGGGGATAACAATTTCTTTCACTTCATCTACAATCAGTAAAACGTTTCATGTTCTGACTTTCACCTAAGCCCTGAATTTAAACATAAACATTTCATAAAAAATCTGAATAAATTGTGTTGGCTTTACTATTTATTTTTCATATGAATTTCAGCATATTTTAACTCAGTAACTACCTGATTTATCAATAGTGAATGACTCAAAATAGGTCCTGTGTTATTTTTAAAAATTCACAGTAATTATTTGTTTCAGAAGCCCATTTAGGGTTTTTTTTTTTTTGTAATTTTTATTAATGACATTATTAGGAACTCCTTTAAAAGAAGTTGGTCAAGAATCAGTTGCGAAGTCTCTTTGTTTTATGTTTACACTCACTCCAGGAATTTCTGGAAAATAATTGTCTCAGTCCATTTGCATTGCTATAAAGGAATATCTGAGGCTGGGTAATTTATGAAGAAAAGAGTTGTATTTGGCCCACTGTTCTTCAGGCTCTACAAGAAGCATGGCATCGGTATCTGATTCTGGTGAGGGCTTCAGGAAGCTTTCATTCATAGCGAGAAAAAGGGGAGGCAGCATCACATGGTGAAAGAGGAAACCAGAGAGGGGAGGGTGGCACCAGACTCTTTTTAAGAATCAGGTCTCCTGGGAACTAATTGAGTGGGAATTCACTGACCACTGGGAGGACAACACCAAGACATTCATGAGGAATCTACCCACATGACCCAACACCTACCATCAGGCTTTACCTCCAAGACTGAGAATTAAATTTCAACATGAGATTTGGAGAGGACAAATATCAAACTATAACGATATCTAAAGTAGATTGGCTATTACTTTTCAAAGTGTGATTTTCTAAACCTTTCATGTTGACTTTAAGCCTTCTTACACCGATCTGTCCCTACCAGGAAGAGAAAATATGTAGCCATCTGCCTTTATTTAATTAGACTTCATATATGAATTTGCCCTGTTTTCTTTGGAACCACTAAAATAAAGGCCAATATACTCTTACTGTGAATTTCAAGGAGGGATATTTTATGAAATGGATAAATTTTGTAAATGGTAGGTGATACAAAGAAGTTGTGGTCATAGGTAATAGGGAACAAGGAAACAGTTCTAATAAGCCAGGGATTTTCTGTATCTAAAAATAGAATTGAAGCAAAGTATATATTTCAAGACTTGTTAAGGGCTCACGCTTAAATATGTTTAAAAACTCCAAAGACCTGGTAAATTGACCAAAATTGCTTTACCATGTCTAAATATTTACCATATCTAAATATTATTTATAGAGACTGACACAATTCCTTCAATTCCATATCTTTCAAGATGATTTTCTACAAATTATTTTCTTCCATTAAGGAATAAGATTCAGATTAGACCTAAGACAATTGTTTAGTTTAAAAAGGGAGATGCTGTACATCTGAGAAAATTTCTAAGCAGAAATAGGTCTCAGTGCATCACATTTTTAAAAAATATATTATTATGAATAATTCAAATTAAGTGAGTTTGGTATACAATAAAACATTCAGAATTAGAATAGAACAAAAATATTATAGTATAAAATAAATTACACTCTCATGTTTAATACATTTTCCAGGTATTGCCCATAAAAAGACTTTGTAAATTACTAGCTCTTTGGAAGCTTTTCATACAAATGTGTTCTGTTCCCTTTCTCATTAGGCTAATATAGTTTGCTATACCAAATTGTAATATTTGTATCTATTCAGACTATTGGGTAGCTCCTCTCCATCTGTAGGTTTATAAACTAGGGGAGCCACTCAATGGTCCGAATATATAGATTTACATCTGTCCTCACACATCAAATATATATCATGACAAAGAGACAGGATTAATACAGTAGAATCTTTCTTTGAAAATGGGAAATAATGTAAGATATACATAGGGAACTTTTGTTATTATGATGACATGCCCCGCTTGGATGCTAAATAGCGTTTCTAGCCTGCTTCTCTTCTCTGTAGATGTTTGTAGACTAAAAAATCATATTAAGACTTAAACCAGTACAGATGGTTTTTAAAGGTCAGAATAGAAATTGCTTTAGCAGTTAGCCTGAAACCAAAGACTTCTTATCTATTTGAATCCAGTTTCATACACCAATAACAAAAAAAATTTTATAGACATCTTTCTAAGATTTGCTGTATATCTTTGCTTTCTCGTCATTGAGCCTACAAATTTGTGGAATTCTCAAATATTTTAATCTATTTTTTGGAGCCATCTTATTACTGAAAAAATTTGTGAGTCACCACTTCAAGTCATTCAGATTTAATTTATGGTGTGATGAATATACCTTTGATTTCATCCTTTACTCAGCCTGATTTTCAATTAGTCCTTATTTTTCATAGCAGTTTTGCTTATCTTTTATTTTTTGAGATTGAAAAGCAATTGTCCTTTTCAGTCTCATATATGCCTGAATTTGTGGACTTATTTTATTTTCTATTGTTACTACCTTCAAAATCAGGAAAGTTATTTTTGTGCATAGCTTTTTCTGATGCTTACTGGACAAACATGGTCAATAGCAATCAACTCACACTACTAACATTTAGCATTATGCTTTCCTCTTCTAATGGTAAAAGTTCAAGTTATTTTAGTCACAGCTTTACAAGGTATATATCCCTTATATAACACAAATGCTACTTTCCCGGGCTTTGAGAACAATGTCTTTATTAATTGCCATCTGGCCTTTAAGTGGTGTATGGTGTGTGAGGTGTATGTTTACATAGATGCGTGTGTGCATATGGGCATGATGACAATATCACACTTCCACAGTCAATTGTTTTTATCATTAGGGTGTTTTGTTATACCATGGCTTCAATTCTAAATGGTTCTATGAAACAAATGTTAATTTCTCACTCATATTACATGGTTATCACAAATTTGCTAGGATGTTAACTCAGTGATTTACTTACTTTGGACTAACGGATTATCACTGTCTGAAATATTCCTGTTCTAGTGACAGAAAGTAAGGAAAATGCCAAATCAGGCACTGTTCCTTGAGACTTTAACCAAAATTAATATTGTAATTAATATCAGATGACGGGTTTAGTATACTGGTTTCATAATTCCTAAGCGAGTGCCTTTTGACAATCTATATATCATAGAATACCAGAGCTGTATTTCTGAGGCAATTATAAAGTGTTGTCTAAAAATTTTGGGCCCCAGAGACCAAGAAAAGTCAGTAAGAAAGCAAAAGTTTGAAATTAAATTTCACTAAAAATTAAATCCATTTTAGATTATTTATTTAAACATGAATTTAATATATATTTCTTTTTACCCAGAAAGTTAAAAAAAATGTTAACTAGAAAAACCCATTTAAAATTTCATGCATTGCTTCTTGGCTTTATGGCTAAGATAAATTTTCTGTTCTTATCAGTTTAACAAGTTCATGGGGTCAACATAAAAAAGAAAAATGCTGTTATGGTATTTTTCTGGATTGCTTTACACTGAATTTTAATATTCTGAGCATAGATATTAGATATTGAAAAGACATAATTGTTTGAGACAGGTGAAATGCAACATAAATTAAAATAAGCTTACTTTTCTTTCAATTAACTTATGTCAAATTTAGCTAAAATCAAACTTGAAATGGAAACTTATTTCTTCTATCTGGTACTTTTGTTTCTCTGAATTTATAGAGAAACTACCTCCACCATCTCATTAGTAAAGAATATCTAGTGATTTCATCTTTCTAATTCATGTGTGATTGAAAAAGTTTAAAGTAATTATCTTCAGAGAGTATTAATAGTATTTATCCCTGGAAAAAGTTTAAGTGAAAAATTTGAAATATAAATTATCATGAGTGAATTCAGAACTGATATTTGTATTGTTCTTGTTATTGAGGGTATTTTTCAGTCCCTAGATATAATATTGCACATTTCCCTGTTCCACCTACATGTGAAACCAAGTCAATTACTTGCAATCCTTTTCAAGTTCTAATAATATACTCCAAATCCTAGTGACTTAAAACAAAAACTTAATACCATTTCTCAAGGTTTTCCAGGCTGTCTGGGTGATTCCTACTTGGGATCCCTTAAGTTGTTAGTCAGGTGATAGCCAAGGCTGTGGACCTATAAGAGCTTTCTTATTCACATAACTAGCATCTGGGATGGAATGGAAGGAAAATAATGGTGTTAGTTGGGTATCTCTGACTCCACATGTCCTCTCTATGTGGCAAGGTTGGATTTTTCCACTGTGCAGTGATCTCAGACTACTAACACTTCTTATAGGAAAACTGGATGTACCCAGAGTAAGTATTTCAAAAGACCCCGTGGATACTGCACCAACAGCATATGAAATTTTCAGTTTCTCCTTACTGTAGTCAACAAATTTTATCGTCAGTCTTTTTAATTTTAGCCATTCTAGAACTTGTGTGGTTTTATAAAATTTTGCTTTTCATTTACACATTCTTAATGTCTACTGATGTACAGCAATTTTTCCTGTGCTTCTTAGCCATTCATGTATCGTCTTTTGGTAAGTCTATTCAAATTTGTGCTCACTTGTAAAAATTGTATTTTTTTATTATTGAGTTGTAAATTCTCTTTAAACATACTCTAAGAAAGTCCTTAATATATATATAAATTATGAATCATTTCTTCCAATTTGTGGCTTGTCATATGCTCATTGAAATCTTTTAAAGAGCAAAATATTTAAATGGTCATGGTAAGTCAAATTTATAATGTTTTTTCTTTCATGTTTCCTGTATTTTGTGTGCTATCTAAGTAATCTTTGTTTACTCTCCAGCAGAGAAGATTTGCTCCTATGTTTTATTCTTAAATTACAAATTTAGCTTTTACATTTAGAGTTATTACTCATTTTACTTACTTTTTTTTTTAGTTTAGTGACAGGTAAAGTCAAACAATTTTTTATTTCTAACTTGAATATACAATTTTTCTAGTACCATAGATTGAAAAAAACTACCTTTTTCTTATTCAAATTAGTTGAAATTCATATTGAAAGGCAATTAATCGTATGTATGGGCATTTATGTGTAAACCTTCTGTTTTGTTTTATTGATCTGTATGTTGTTTTTTTTTAACCAAATATACTGCCTTTAGTACAGAGACATTATGTTAAGTATTAAAAACAATAAATAAATATCTTCACAATCTATTATTCTTTCTCAAAGTTGTTTGGCTGAGATTTAATTAGTATTACACTACATTTACACATCAATTTAGGGATAACTAATATAATAATATTGTTTTTTGTAATCCAATAGCATTGTATATTTCTCAATTTATATGGGTTTAATTTCTTTCAGCAGTGTTTTGTAGTTCTCAGTACACAGATCTTACACATACTTTGCTAAATACATACCGAAAAATGTAATGTTTTTGAAGCTACTTTAAATGGC
Source organism: Homo sapiens (assembly GCF_000001405.40). Lineage (NCBI taxonomy): Eukaryota > Metazoa > Chordata > Mammalia > Primates > Hominidae > Homo > Homo sapiens. The sequence continues at coordinate 55,931,876 of NC_000010.11, read as the reverse complement.
ATTTACATTAAAACTTTAAAATTCAATTTAATATTGTTCATTGAGAGCATATAGAAATGGCAAATGTTTGTTGATAGTATATCTTAAAACATCTTTACCTCATATGTGAGTTCTAGCAGCATTTTTGTAAATTTCCTAGGCTTTTCTAACTACATGAGTATGTCATATCTCAATAAAGTTATTTCGTTTATTTTTCCAATTTGTTAGCCTTTTAGTTCCTTTTCTTGCCTTATAGCAATAGTTAAGATCCCAGCACAATGATGAATAGAATGGAGAGGATGGACCTTTTCAGGAAGATTTTAATCATAGAGAGGAATAACTTAGAATTGTATTATTATAATTATCTATAGATTTTTCTTTAATTTCTGAGATAAATACAACTTGGTCATGGTGTATACCTTTTTTCATGAATTGCTGGATTTCCTTTGGCTAAAACATCTTAAGGGATTTTGAGTTTATGCTTACGGGAATATTAATGTTTAGATTTTTATTTTATTTAATATTTTTGTAGGGAAGAGTTCAGACTTTATTAGATACCTTAAGACTGGCCCTGGGAAAACCATGGCTGGCTTCACCATCATCCTGATAGGAAGAGGCAGTGAGGACAACAGCAGGCTGGGGAAGATGGGAGCCCCGATTTGGTTAATTTTGTACATAGGAAACACAGGATCCATAAAATGACATGAAAAATTGTCCTTTCTCATCATGTTATTAAAGATTTTTCCAAAATTGCTATTATTTCTTTATGTATAATTTGGTGAAGTTCACCACTGAAGTCATCTGAGTTCCATGGAGACTTCTTTGCAGGAAAGCTTTTAACCTCAATTTCAATTACTTTAATAGATATAGGAATAGACACATTTTTTATTTCTTTTGTGTCATATTGATAATATGCATCTTTCATGAAACTTGTCAATTTTACATAATTTATAGGCATGCATTTGCACAATATTTTCTTTGCTCATTTTAATGGCTGTAAGATCTCTGCTGATGTTTCATATTGCATTATGATATTGAACATTTTTGTATTCCTCCTTTTTCTCTTAGGAAAATTTACTATAACATTGTGAAGCTTACTGTTATTGTTTTCTAAAGGTTTTATCTTTAGATCATGTTAAGTTTCACATTGGCCCAGATTTTTAAGTCAGGAATAGAATTTGCTTTAGTCGTTAGCCTAAAATTACATTGTGAAGGGGGAGAAATATTATCTAAAGTTGCAAATGTACTAATACATGGCATACACTATAATAATACTTTTTTATTGCTATTACTATAAAAGGTAAGAATATTAGGAGACAATTATGTGTGCAAAAATACAATTTCATTTTCATATAGTTCAAAATATTAGATATAGTTTAGGTGTTTTGCCAAATTTCCTGAGCACCATTGGCCTCACAAACCCTCTGAAATCACTAATCAGCTTCACCCAGGGTTGAAAGTTGAGCTCTCTGGACATCTCATGGAACCATTCTCTCACTGGAGCTATTTCTGAGAAGCAGGACACAGGTTGCTTTCACTCTCAGGTGCTACAAATATCTCTAGGGCTGCTCTACTACCCCAGTTGCTCCATGAGGAAGCATGGTGGAGGGCTCCTCTCTCCTGGTGTAATAATTACTCATTTTTCCTTATTCTCCTTACTCTAGGCTTAACATCATTCTCTCCATTCTTGGGGAGAAGTGCTTCTTATATATCTCATAAGTACTTTGCTTAAGCCAACAAGTTCTCTCTCTCTCTCTCTGGATAATTTAAGCTTTTAGAAAACACATCTATGGATATTTGTTTCTATTTTCTACTTAGACAAAACTCTCCCTTGAGAAAATATGCATTTATTAATTATCTGCTTGGAGGAGGGAAAACAAATAAGAGAAAAATTGGGGAAAAAGAGAGATTAAAAACAGATTTATATTTTTTAAATATACTATACTATATTATACTATACACATTTTATGTTATTTTTATACTCAATAAAGACACGTGTTGACCATTGATATTATTAACCTGGTTTCATAGAAGAGAAAACCAAATATCAAATGGTTAAAATAACTTCTGCAATCATTGGAACATATCAGTCTGGCTCCATAACTTGCCATATTTAATTATGTTTTCTCCAATGATAATATTGTATATTAATGATGTTGTAAGTTTTATTTAATTGAAACCTAAAATCCTAAAAGGCTTATTGTTGCTTTCATATGTAGCCACTGACAAATCACCTTAATTCTGGGGTATTTCAACCTTCGGAAAATAAGTTTCTCTTTTATTGCCAGATTTCCTGAGGAAATTGAATCAGACAATTAATTGTACCATAAATAAGGACTATAGTTGGCAACTAGTGGAAACTCCAGAAATTTCTACAGGAAGGGCTTAGGATTAAGGATCTGATTTGAATTGGGCTTGACATTTCCCCTTATTATGGTTGAGAAACTATCTATTATCCTTCTCAAAGACTGATGGGGAAGAGATTAATGAAGATTATAGGGTGATTAAGGCTTTCATCCATGTTCTCAGTTGCCACTATCACTGATGGCAACAAAGTTACAATGTGAATTTAAACATAGCTTTTTTAACTTGAATCTGCTTCCCTTCTTTTCTTGGAATACTAAAACACTAACATTCCCAAAACATCCATTTATATTAATAGAGTTAAGTAAAGGGTGTATAAACAGGAACACAATAATTCTTCTAAGTTATACCTTATCTACTGTATTATGTAAAGCCAAGTAAACTTATTTCAAAAAAGAAGGAATTGGATTTTGCAAAAGATTAAAATAATTTTGTACCATCAAACTCTATCAAACTTCTGCTTCTAGCTCTGATGAAGCAGCTGGTGTCAGAAGTATTCTGCCTGAGAACAACTGTAAAAACTGCAATAAACAACACAACCAACCAACCCGACAAATAAAATAAGAAAGAGCAATTTGAGGTGCAAAGAACAACCAAGGAAGCAGGATTTGAAGGGGAAAGAAGGCAATTATTTTTGTCCCTTATGGGATATTTATCAATTCATTTCATTGGCCAAAACTCAAAGAGAAAGCAGCTGACTAGGACTTACAAAAGTTTCACTAGATTTTGGAGGTAAAAATTTAAATTTGGGGATGGGCACGATGACTCATGCCTGTAATTTCGACAATTTGGGAGGCTGAGGCAGGCGGACCACCTGAGGTCAGGAGTTCAACACCTGCCTGGTCAACATGGCAAAACCCCATCTCTACTAAAAAATAAAAAAATTAGCTGGGTGTGTGGCAGGCACCTGTAATCCCAGCTACTCGGGAGGCTGAGGCAGGAGAATCACTCAAACCTGAGAGGCCAAGGTTGCAGTGAGCCGAGATCTCACCACTGCACTCCAGCCTGGGCGACAGAGTGAGACTCCATCTCAAAAATAAATAAATAAATAAATATAAATTCACATTTTTCATGGAGTCATAAATTAAAGATCCAAAAACATAAATAAAAGGCAACTAAGATAAGTGTGTCTGATACACTGGGAGCAATTTCTTACTAGGCATCTGTGAAAGACCCTAGGACAGTCCTCATGGCATTTACAATTTCTTGCTCATGTTTTGTATAATCTCTTCCCCTTGGGTGCAAGGAAGACATGTGACTTGCTTTCAGTCAATGAGACTTGGCAAATGTGAAATTCCATATACAAATAAGTTTTTAAATCAGTTTATTTTGAGGTAATCAGCTGAGAGATTATATCAGCCAAGTCTCATGTAATCAGGCGAAGGCTTTTATAAATGGAATCGGGGCTGGGCACAGTGGCTCACGACTATAGTCTGAGCACTTTGGAAGGCTGAAGCAAGAAGATTGCTTGAGCCCAGGAGTTCAAGACCAGCCTGGGCAACATAGTAAGACTCTGTCCCTACAAAAAAAAAAATTAAAATAAAAAAAATAGGAGGCTGAGGTGGGAGGATCCCTTAAACCTAGGGGGCCAAGCCTGCAGTAAGCCATGATCATGCCACTGCACTCCAGCCTGAACAACTGAATAAAACCCTGTCTCAAAAGTATATATATGTGTGTGTGTGTGTGTGTGTGTGTGTGTGTGTGTGTGTGTGTGTGTGTCGGTATATATATATATTTATATATATATGCTCCAACTGAGGTTTATCTCTTATTGATTTACTGATGTCTGAAGCCATGTTGGAAAATCTCACATAGAAGATAACTGCCAAATGGCTATAGGAATGGTGAGCATCTTTAGGATCAGAGAGGGCAGTCTCTAGGTGACAGCCAACAAAAAGCTTTGGTCATACAGACACAAGAAAATAAATTTTTCTGACAATTTGAATGAGCTTGAAAGTGAATTATTCTCTTCTTAAGCCTCCAATTGGGATGTCTGTCCAACATCTTGATGTAGCCTGTAAGACTTTGAGCATAAGAAACAGCTAAGGATGCCTAGATTCCTGACCTGGAAATACTGCTAGGAAATACATGTGTGTTATTTTAAGCCTCCAGTTTGTTATTTTTTATTTTTAACAAAGCAATATGAAACTAACAAAGCATTTGTCAACACATATGTTTTGTATGCATGGAGTAAGAATCAGAGAAACCAGGTAGAAAATATCTGTTAAGAAACCAAAACCTTGTTTCTCATTGTATAGGAAAAACAAAACAGGATTCAGAGCTTACCAGAGTGGAGAGGGTGTGGACACTATCCAGACTTCCACTTGTGGATCCACAAAGGACATTCCTAACAAGAATGAGCTTATGATAAATGGATCAGATTCAAATGAGTTAAGCAGGTCTCTGAATACATTATTTCCTGATAAAAAAATTAATTCCTCTCTGATGTAATATTACACATACAAACATACACACACAGCCTCTCCCCAAACACACACACACACACACACACACACACACACACAGAGAGAGAGAGAGAAAGAGAGAGATAGAAACAAATAATAAAAACACATTGAAATGCATTCAAATTTATCTGAATGTAAGAGTTACAGGACAGTTATTTAAAAATAACTCTGAAAACCATGTTACAGAAGTACATTCAAAGATAAAATATTTCATCTTAGAGCTTGAATTTATTTAAAAATGTAGTGTCAAATGGTATGATCAAAAGCAGACACAATACAAGGGAAGATTGGTAAACTAAAAAATAGAGAGTAGAAAGTACTTCCATTAAGGCACAGAAAGAAGTTTGGCTAGAAACTATACAAGAGAGCCTAAACGTAACATAGGAAATAATTTATAGTTCTAAAAAACATAATTTGTGACTCAGAGGATTGGTGTAAAGATGGCTATTAATAATATTGGTAATTTTGATTGAATATGACTGAGGAGGGGCCAAGATATATGAATAATGAATATATAAACCTATAATTCTGTTGAAGTAGTCACTTCATAGAGAAACTCAGCTATCAAGGGCTGGCTCATAGCTGCACAACAATCCCACAGCAAATGGTAAACATTATTTGAGAAAATACTTCCTGAAAACAAAATAAAACTGACAAAAGACGTCAAACTAATCACCTTCTTTATAAACACTAAACACACACACGCACACATACACACAAACACAGCCATACCACATACGTAACAATCATAGCACAACTGTTGGAAACCCAAAGACAAAGAAAAACTTATAAAAGTGGTATTATTACTGTATAGTTTACTTATTACGTTATTATTTTCTGCTTCGTCCCCTAGATTGTTGTGGAAAAAAATGTTGATGCCGCTTGGAGAGCAGAAATTGTTATTAGTTTTTTGTATTCATCACTATACCCTCAGTGTTTAGGACACTACTCTTGGGTAAGACCTCCATAAATGTTTTCACATAAGTGAATTAATCAACTGAAACTTTTGTTTCTCATCCCTATTTATTAAAATATTTTTAAACTCAAAGTTATACAATGGGTATCAATTTTGTGAATTTTCTAAGAATATTTTCTTCTTTGAAGTTTCTGTTCTGATGACTTTTAATATAAACCCTCTTAATTTACAAATGAGTTTGAGGGTGTTGAGCTAATTGTTTATAGAAACGTCTATGCTTTTGAGCCATGATTCTCAAATGTGAGTATATATTAAAAATAACCTGAAGGAAATATTTAAATTTCTATGTCTAATATTGGTAATTTGATTGAGTATGACTAAGGTGGGGCCAAGGAATATGAATAATGATTATATAAACCATATAATTCTGATGAAGCAGTCACTTCATAGGGAAACTCAGCTATCAATGGCTGGCTCAGAGCTGCACAACAATCTCACAGCAAATGGTAAATATTTCTACTTTTTTTGAACTAATAAAAATGTAATCTTCACATTGTGCTTTCAAATTTGATAAATTAAAAGAGTAAAATACTATTTGTTTTCTATAGCATTTCTTATTCTTCACATCACGACTACATTAAAATTTACCACACAATTTCTGGTTCACTGGCAATTTTTTTTTCTTTGCTTTGCCTCATGTCTATGAATAAGTTGAATTCAAGTTCTGCATTTAGCTATAAACTTTTTAATTTACCCCCAAATAGTGGTGTTTTGAGTTGGTAATCAAAATGCAGTCACTTACTTTCCAGAGAATACCAATGATTGGTGCATTCAATCTAAAGATATTCTTGTCAAGACTGCTTTATCTGCATTAACACAATTCATACTCTCATCTCATTTTAAGTAGCAGTTCCCAAAGTCCTTCTGCTTTATTTTGTAGGCTAAATTCTTCTTTATGTGAAACAATAGCGATTGTAATGAATCTTGATGACAAGTCTGCAGACTATTTTCTCTGCTGCAATAGACAATTTGTCATAAAGATATATACAAAATATGTGTCTTCTGGGTTTTACTTTCAAAATGTTTTCTATTTGTACTAAAATTTAAAAAAAATACTAGAAAATATGTAACTAAAAAAAGTAATTGTGGCTAAAAACCAGAAATGTGTGCCAGACAATCTTCTATTTCTGTTTTTAAAATTCTCAACATGCAACTTAATTTTTTATCATACTAATCTAGGAAACCAGGAAACTGTCAAAGGTATGAAATTTATAAGTAAAAAGAAAAGTATCTTTATTTATCTGAAGAACATTAACAGTGCCTGTGAACTGACTTACTTCATACTGACTATGGAAATGAAAATGCTTTCTACAAAGTAAGGAAACAATAAAATAATTTCTTCTAAAACACACTAAGGACACACCAGAAATCATCTCATCCCAATATACCTGATTATTGATGAAGTGCTATTTAACTTGAAGAGATTATTACAATGCATATCTGTTTGCCTATGTGTTTAGAGACACTTGAATCATAAGTTTGAGATGACTTCAGCTAAATTACTCTGCAGGGTTATGAAAAGACCACACCATGAGGTTGGAATTCATTTCAAAAAGTATCTCTTGAGGACATAACATATATATACATTGTGTTCAATGTTGACAGTGATGGGGTGGCGAGGGGGTGACAACAGAAAAAGCCAAGATATGTTGCTGCAATTAAAGGCTTTATCAAAGTAGGAGTAATAAAAATAATTTTAAAACTGCCTTGGCCAAAATGATTGTTAATGAGCATATATGCAAGCAAGCATTGTAATTCAAGCAAGCAATTTTTTTTTCATATTTTTCCTTCATTTATCTCCAACACAAAAGTAAAAGAGATTGAGCAAGAATAAAGAATGTATTTTTAGATTTGTGATCCAGATGTAATTCAGATTTGGCTCGCATCAGCAGAGTTTATAAATTAAGTCAGAAAGAGAAAATGAGAGAGATTGAAACAGTCTCAACTCTGAAAGAAAAGGGAAAGATAGAAGCTAAAATATGGATCACTGCTTCCATGGATCACCACTGTCTCACTACCTCCTTCCTTTTCTTTTCTCTCTATAATTCAAGCTATAGATTAAGGGTAACTCTCTCTTAAATAACAGTAGGGGACTTCTTAATAATAGTCATTTATGGAATTGGCTGGCAAGATAGCCAAATAGGAACAGCTCCAATCTGCAGGTCCCAGTGAGATCAACACAGAAGGCAGACGATTTCTGCATTTCCAACTGAGGTACACAGCTCATCTCATTGTGACTCGTTAGACAGTGGGTGCAGGCCATGGAGGGTGAGCAGAAGCAGGGTGGAGTGTTGCCTTAACCAGGAAGCTGAAGGGGTCAGGAAACTCCTTCCCCTAGCCAAGGGAAGCCTTGAGGGACCATGCCATGATGAATGGTACATTCTGGCCTAGATACTACACTTTTCCCATGGTCTTTGCAACCTGCAGACCAGGAGATTCCCTCAGGTGCCTACACCACTAGGGCCCTGGGTTTTAAGCACAAAATTGGGTGGCCATTTGGGCAGACACCAAGCTAGCTGCAGGAGTTTTTCTTCATAACCCAGTGGCACCTGGAACACAAGTGAGATAGAACTATTCGTTCTCCTGGAAAGGGGGCTGAAGCCAGGGAGCCAAGTGGTCTAGTTCCACGGATTCCACCCCCAAAGAGCCCAGCAAGCTAAGATCCACTGGCTTGAAATTCTCACTGCCAGCACAGCCATCTGAAGTCAACCTGGGACTCTCGACCTTGGTGGGGGGAGTAGTGTCCCCCTTTACTGAGGCTTGAGTAGGCAGTTTTCCCCTCACAGTGTAAACAAAGCCCCTGGGACGTTCGAACTGGGTGGAGCCCACCACAGCTCAGCAAAGTCATTGTAGCCAGACTGCTTCTTTAGATTTCTCTTCCTCTCTGGGCAGGGCATTTCTGAAAGAAAGGCAGCAGCCCCAGTCAGGGGCTTATAGATAAAACTCCTATCTCCCTGGGACAGAGCACCTGGGGGAAGGGGCAGCTGTGGGTGCAGCTTCAGCAGACTCAACGTTCCTGCCTGCTGTCTCTGAAGAGAACAGTGGATCTCCAAGCACAGTGCTCAAGTTCTGCTAAGGGACAGACTGCCTCCTCAAGTGGGTCCCTGACCCTTGTGCATCCTGACTATGAGACACCTCTCAGCAGGGATCAACAAACACCTCATACAGGAGAGCTCTGGCTGGCATCTGGTGGGTGCCCCTCTGGGATGAAGCTCCCAAAGGAAGGAACAGGCAACAATCTTTGCTGTTCTGCAGCCTCTGCTGGTGATACCCAGGCAAAGAGGGTCAGGAGTGGACATCCAGCAAACTCCAGCAGACCTGCAGGAAAGGGTCCTGATTGTTAGAAGGAAAACCAACAAACAGAAAGGATTAGCATCAACATCAACAAAAAGGACTTCCACAGAAAAATCCCAACAAAGATGGTCACCAGTGTCCAAGACCAAAGGTAGATAAATCCACGAAGATGAGGAAAAATCAGTGCAAAAAGGCTGAAAATTCTAAAAGCCAGAATGCCTCTTCTCTTCCAAAGGGTCACAACTCCTTGCCAGCAAGGGAACAAAACTGGACAGAGCATGAATTTGAGGAATTGACAAAAGTAGGCTTCAGAAGGTGGGTAATAACAAACTCCTCTGAGCTAAAGGAGCATGTTCTAACTCAATGCAAGGAAGCTAAGAATCTTGAAAAAAGGTTAGAGGAATTGCTAACTAGAATAACCAGTTTACAGAAGAACATAAATGACCTGATGGAGCTGAAAAACACAGCACAAGAATTTCGTGAAGCATACACAAGTATCAATAGTCTAATTGATCAAGCGGAAGAAAGGATATCAGAGATTGAAGATCAATTTAATGAAATAAAGTGTGAAGACAAAATCAGAGAAAAAAAAAGAAAAGTAATGAACAAAACCTCCAGGAAATACGGGACCATGTGAAAAGACCAAACCTATGTTTCACTGATGTACCTGAAAGTGATAGGGAGAATGGAACCAAGTTAGAAAACACTCTTTAGGATATTATCCAGGAGAACTTCCCCAACCTAGCAAGACAGTCCAACATTCAAATTCAGGAAATACAGAGAACACCACAAAAATGATCCTTGAGAAGGGCAACCACAAGACAAATAATTTTAAGATTCACCAAGGTTGAAACGAAGGAAAAAATGTTAAGGGCAGCCAGAGAGAAAGGTCAGGTTACCCACGAAGGGAAGCCCATCAGACTAAAAGTGGATCTCTCGGCAGAAACTCTACAAGCCAGAAGGGAGTGGGGGCCAATATTCAATAATCTTAAAGAAAAAAAATTTCAACCCAAAATTTCCTATCCAGACAAGCTAAGCTTCATAAGTGAAGAAGAAATAAAATCCTTTACAGACAAGCAAATGCTGAGGGATTTTTTCACCACCAGGCCTGCCTTACAAGAGCTCCTGAAGGAAGCACTAAAAATGGAAAGGAAAAAACAGTATCAGCTACTGAAAAAACATACCAAATTGTAAACATCATCGATGCTAGGAAGAAACTGCATCAACTAATGGGCAAAATAAACAGCTAGCATCATAATGACAGGATCAAATTCACACATAACAATATTATCCTTAAATGTAAATGGGCTAAATGCCCCAAGTAAAAGACACAGACTGGTAAGTTGGATAAAGAGTCAAGACTCAACAGTGTGCTGTATTCAGGAGACCCATATCACATGCAAAGACGCATATAGGCTCAAAATAAAGGGATGGAGGAATATTTACCAAGCAAATGGAAAGCAAAAAAAAGAGGAGGAGTTGCAATCCTAGTCTCTGATGAAACAGACATTAAACCAACAAAGATCAAAAAGACAAAGAAGGGCATTACATAATGGTAAAGGATCAATGCAATAACAAGAGCTAACTGTACTAAATATATATGCATCCAATACAGGAGAACCCAGATTCATAAAGCAAGTTCTTAGAGACCTACACAGAGACTTAGACTCCCACACAATAATAGTGGGAGACTTTAACACCCCACTGTCAATATTAGACAGATCAACGAGACAGAAAATTAACAAGGATATTTAGGACTTGAACTCAGCTCTGGATGAAGTGGACCTAATAGACATCTACAGAACTCTCCACCCCAAATCAACAGAATATACAATCTTCTCAGCACTGCATCACACTTATTCTAAAATTAATCACATAATTGGCATCATCACTGATCATTAGAGCAATGCAAATCAAAACCACAATGAGATACAATCTCACACCAGTTAGAATGGCGATCATTAAAAAGGAGACAGATGCTGGAGAGGATGTGCAGAAATAGGAACGTTTTCACACTGTTGCTAGGAGTGTGTAAATTAGTTCAGCCATTGCAGAAAACAGAACGGCAATTCCTCAAGGATCTAGAACCAGAAATACCATTTGACCCAGCAATTCCATTACTGGGTATATACACAAAGGATTATAAATCTTTCTACTATAAAGATACCTGCACACATATGTTTACTGCAGCACTATTCACAATAGCAAAGACTTGGAACCAACCCAAATGCCCATCAATGATAGACTGGATAAAGAAAATGTGGCAAATATACACTATGGAATACTATGCAGCCATAAAAAAGGATGAGTTCATGTCCTTTGCAGGGACATGAATGAAGCTGAAAACCATCATTCTGAGCAAACTAACATGGGAAGAGAAAACCAAACACCACATGTTCTCACTCATAAGTGGGAGTTGAACAATGAGAACACATGGACACAGGGAGGGAACATCACACATCCGGGCCTGTCATGGGGTGAGGTGCTAGGGGATTGATAGCATTAGGAGAAATACCTAATGTAGATGATGGGTTGATGGGTGTAGCAAACCACCATGGCACGTGTATACCTATGTAACAAACCTGCACATTCTGCACATGTACCCCAGAACTTAAAGTATAATAATAAAAAAAAATTAAAAAGGTGATAAGTAGCAAACCAAAGAAATGTTATATACTTTACAAAAGTGCTGAAGTATTAAAGGACACATATATTTTGAGTTATTTTTATTCTACACAATTTTCCAGAAACAACTTAAATAAAAAATAATTAACCGATCCTTTTAAGTGCTTGAATACAAACTTTAGGATTAAGCAGCATAAACACACCAAGCCCCAAGCCAATTAAATATGTTGTAATTAGATGTCAACTAATCAATAATTGTACAAAACTAATTATTTAAAGCCTTTCTCTAGTATTTCAGAATTTTTGTAAGTCAAGTTCTTCCTTTAGCTTCCTCATCTTATTCCTGACTTTTTATACTGCAAACTCTAGGAAAAAATCTAAAATTATTTGACTATGAATACTGGTATCAAGTAAAACTTAAAATGGTAAAACATTTTAACTTGGATAGGTTGGGAACCAAACATACCCACCCTGAGTATGTTATATAAAAACGTCAAAGAGCAACAGATGCTGGCAAGGCTATGGAGAAAAGAGAACACATATACACTGTTGGTGGGAATGTAAATTAGCTCAGCCATGCTGGAAAGCAATTTGAAGAGTTCTCAAATATCTCAAAATGGAACTACCATTTGACCCAGCAATCCTATTACTGGGTATATATCCAAAAGAAAATAAATCATTCTACCAAAAATACACCTGCACTCGTATGTCCATCACAGCACTATTCACAATAGCAAAGACATGGAATCAATCTAGGTGCCCATTAACAGTGGACTGGGATGAAGAAAATGTGGTACATACACACCATGGAATACTACACAGTCATAAAAAAGAATGAAACCAAGTCCTTTGCAGTAACATGGATGCAGCTGGAAGCCATTATCCTAAGCAAATTAACACAGGAACAGAAAACTAAATGCTGCATATTCTCGTTTAGAAATGAGAGCTAAACACTGGGTACTCACAGTCATAAAGAGAGCAACAATAGGCACTGGGGACTTCTAGAGGGGAGAGGAAAGGATAGGGGTAAGGGCTGAAAAACTGTTAAGTACTATGCTCACTTCCCAGGTGACAGGTTCAGTTGTTGCCCAAACCTCAGCATCATATAACATATCCATGTAACAAATCTACACATGTACCCTCAAATCTAAAATAAAAGTTTTAATTATTTTAAAAAATAGTCATTTACTTCCCATGCCCAAACTGATGTAAGTCATTGCCTCACTAGTTTCTAAGCCCCTTGCAGATCTAGACACTATTTTTTATCTGTGTATATCCACAATTTAGTACCTGGGAGCAGTTGGTTTCTCACTAATATTTTTCTGAAAAATTAATAGAAGCAACAAAAATTCCAGCCACCTTAAAAAAAAAGAATATTAAAGAATGCTCCATCTTGAGAAGAGTGTATGTTTCGGGTCTGTTGGTTGGAATGTTCTGCAAATGTCTGTTAGGTCCATTTAGTCTAGAAAATGGTTTAACTCTGATTGATGTTTCTTTGTTGATTTCTGTCTGAGTAACATGTTCACTGCTAAGAGTGGGGTGTTGACGTCCCCTACTATTATTGTATTGTAGTCTGTCTCTTCCTTTAGGTCTCTTAATATTTGCTCTATATATTTAGGTGCCCCAGTGTTGGGTGTATATATATTTAGAATTGTATATCCTCCTGCTGTATTGACCGTTTTATCATTATAGAATGGCTTTGTCTCTTTTTATAGTCTTTGGCTTAACGTCTATTTATCTGCTATAAATATAGAAACTCCTGCTCTTCTTCGGTCTCCATTTGCATGGAATATACTTGTTTATCCCTTCACTTTCAGTCTGTGCATGTCCATAAAGGTAAAGTGAATCCAAAACAGCATGGTACAGATATAAAAACAGGCACATATGCACAACACAACAGAATAGAGAACCCCAAAATAAATCTACACACTTATGCCAAATGATCTTCAACAGACACCAAAAACATACATTGGGGAAAGTACAGTGTCTTCAATAAATGGTGCTAGGAAAACTGGATATCCACATGCAGAAGAATGAAACTAGATGCTTATCTCTGCCATATACTGAAATCAACTAAAAATGGATTATAGGCTTAAATGTAAGAACTGAAACTAGGAAATTACTAGGAAAAAAATATAGGGGAACTGTTTCATGACATTGGCTTGGACAAGGAATTTTTGGATAAGACCTCAAAAGCACAGGCAACAAAAGCAAAAATAGACAAATAGAATTATGTCAAACTAAAAAGCTTCTGCACAGCAAAGGAATCAATAGAGTGAATAGATGGCCAGGAGAATGGGAGAAAATATTTGTAAATTATGCATCTGACAAAGGATTATATCTAGCATATATAAGAAACCCAAACAATTCAACAACTAAAATAAAAATTAAAAAAATTAAATAATTTTTAAATCAGCAAAAGGTCTGAACAGACATTTCTCAAGGCATACAAATGGCCAAAAGGTGTGTGCTCAACATCACATGAGCAAAAACTGCTCAACATCATAAATTATAAGGAAAATGCAAATCAAAATATAATGACATGTTGCCTCCCATAGGAATTAGATTCATAGAGAGGCAGTACATCTAACCATGAAAATGCCATTTTTCATCTATTACTAGGTGCTAAATAGATGTTTCAAGTTAGAGGAATCTATTTCTTCGAGTCTCTTGCCAGAAGAATTCTTGTTTCCATTCAGGTAAGAGAGGTACTCAAGATATTTGAAAGGCAAAAGAAAAACCTAAGCTTTTTTTTTTCCTTCGATATCCCAGTGGATAGTTGGTGGATCATTTTTGATTCAAGATTTTGCATTGAACTCAGTTGTTGTGATGCATGCAAATCACTTATCTTGGGAGAATACGAATCTCTAATCACTAGTAGTTTCCATTCCGAAGACCTCCAGGGTAAACCAGAGAGAGCTAACAGTAATCTTTTCCGAGCTTGATTATTTATTTTTTGATAGTGCATTCATTGTTTCTGTGTAGCAATTTACCACATATTTAGCTACAAACAAAACATATTTGTGATCTCATAGATTTTTGGGGTCAGGGGTTTATGTACCACCTAGCTATGTCCTGAGCTCCATCGATGTGTTGGCTGGACTGGATTCTCATCTGGAAGCATAACTAGTGAAGATTCTAATGGGGAAGAATTCCAACACCAACAAGTGGATGGCATTATTTATTTCCTTTTGGTTGTATGATGGCTCCGACTATTTTCTCTTGGTTAGCTAGAGGCCACCCTCAGGCCCCAGAGAACTCATAGTTCCTAGAGGCCACCTGAAGGTTCTTACTATTTGGACTTCTCCAACATCACTTCTTAATTTATGAAAATTAAGAAGATTTTCAAAAGAAAATTCTCTTTCTCTCTTTCTCTCATTTTTTTCTCTCTCTCTGCTTCCCTACCTCTTTTCTCACCCTCCTTCTCTCCCCTGACCCAGTCTGCTAAAATATAGTACTATATAATGTAACATAATGATGAGTGTGACATCTCATTACCTTTGGAATATTCTTTTGGTGAGAAGTAAATCACAGGTTTGGCCCACACATAAGTGGAAGGGATTAAAGAAGTTGTGAGCATGAGGAGGCATCAAATACTGGGGGTCACCTTGATGTCTCTAAGATTATAAACACCTTTTGCCTTATAATAATTTATTTCTGCTTGGATCCCTTTGGGACTTCAGTTTTTCTGATAGAGTTTCAACGCTGACACTGATAGAATATAAAAAATACCTTGTACTCAGTGAATATAGAATTTGGAAACCTGCAGGTCATAGATAGGCCTAATCATATTTATTTTTTCTCTAGAAAATTTACAACATCAGGATCATCCTTAAACCCATGAGAAAATGGTAAACACATTTGTATATTCAACAGAGGAATAATACTTAATAGATGTCATTTAGGTGGTTGGTACAAGTAATTGAAAAGCACCACTAACTTAACATTAAAATAGTAATCAAAACACTACCTTTTTAAAACCCTATCTTTTATTTTGGATTCAGGGGGTACATGTGCAGGTTTGTCACATGGGAATACTGAGTGGTGCTGAAATTTTGGCTAAGGGTGATTCTGTCATTGTGGTGCTATTCACAATAGCAAAATCATCACCTTTTTAAGGCAAAATCAAACTCTTGAATTTGCTTATATTTGGGTATTTTTCCCTAAAAATAATTTTTTGCCAAAAGATAAAAAGGAGACATTAATTTAAGTAAATGTATTTTTATTCATAGAATATGGTAGAAAGTTATTGGCTTTAATATATTATATCCATAGATTTTAATTTTATCTGTCCTTTCAACTAAACTTTATAATAAGATCAGCATATGTCCAGTAAGGTAGATAAGATACAATCATATCATATTGGGTTTGAAAATATTCTCAAGCACAATATAATATGTTAACTTTGGTGGATAATTAAGTTAAACATTTATACTTTGAATGTTCTTTGGATGGTTAAGTTGCTAATCGGGAAATGTTAACAGGAATGCTGATATAAAACACCTAAGACATTCTTTTCTAAGCTGAAACATATCAAATATTTGGGATGATTTTACAGTCCTTCTTTTCATTGTCTTATTGAATAATGCTCTAGGACCCACATATTTTCATGTATCTTAATGATTTAATACCTACAATATCATTTTCTTATAAAAACTTTTGTCTGATAATTGTGTAGGTGTAAAGCACACACCGAACAAAAATTACTTTTAATACCTACACATAATAGCTTTGGAACACTTCTTATAATCCTTGTTATTTTGTCTTATTGAATAAAGCTCTTAGATTTTTATTCCCTTATGTGACTTAGTGGTTGGCAAACCAATTATTTGACAACTTGGTCATAGAGCTGTGGTAATGCCGGGACTGTGTCTTTGCACAGACGGCAGAATGTAAATTTCCATCAAACTAGGAAGCAGCAGAATAATAAGAACGTATGTGGGAAACTACTCTGAGCAAAGCATTTAGTGATTATTTGGTAGTAAGTTGTGGCAAGGGAAATACAAACTTAAATAATAGGTTTGCAATGTTCTTTTTTGTAAACACTAACAATGAGGTGATTAAAGGATCATATGCTGTTTTTGGCTCTTCACTATTCATGACTTTTACTTCAGATTTCTGGCAATCACTGATTTTGTGTATCTATATGAGGACATTTTATCTTTAACATCATTTATTTCTTACTTGGAAACAAACAGACACATGACCTGAGGTTTTGTATAGCAAGTCTAAAAATTACTTGTTAATTTAAAAGGTCCTATGTACACCAGAAATAGTAGACTATTTTAAGTGTACTTAAAATTAAAATAAGTTGAGTTTTTGAGTACACTCATTCATGCTATGCAATATAGCTTTTTATAATGAAAGAATATAATTATTTATTTAAAATAACACACTTTTAAATAATTAACTGCCATTTATATAAACTAAAGCAGGAAGGTAGGTCGACAGAAGAATCAGCTTTAAGTTATTGTTATGTATCATGAATATGTGTATGCATATGTGCATATGCATACATAACTTTGAAACTCAGAATTGAAGCTTCAAAGTTTCTATGTGTATGTATCAAGTGCTAGAAGATTAGTCTCATAATCAAAGTTAATGACCAAGCCAGTTTCTCTTAAAGAATATGCCAAGCAGCACTCTGTGATGAAAGATAGCAGGGTCATTAGACTATTATTAGTTAAGAATAATAGTCATGATTCAGGTTGAAGTAGGCATCATCTTGATTGTGATATCCTGAAAGTCATTTGAAGCAAATACACTGAGTCTTTGGAGCTGACGTAAGTCATGCCATATCTTATAGTGGAAAGAAATGGGCTTCTTGAGTTCACAGGTAGAACTGCTTCAAGGCCCATCTCCTAAGGAAATATACTGTTTGCTACCATGGCTAGTTCCCAAGGGCACTGTAGCAATCCACCTGCAAGCACAGACCCATGACTTTCATCAAGACAATAGAATAAAATAATGTCATGTTCACACGTCAATGGTGAGCCATAGAATACTTTACCATTTTTGGTTAGTGGGTCAAAAGAGAGCTCTTCAAAATAGGCTCTTGCTCTGGATTTTATACACAGATTTTCTAGTAGCCATTTTCATATTATCTGGCCTTTGAAACAGTGATATATCTTTGTGTATTTTTGTTAATATTTGCTTAGATATTTCTCTCCAGAAACATCTCTTTCTGAAGCACAAGTGTTCATAGGGGAGTCATGGGCTTTCTTTTTAAAATATTTATTGGTATTTTTTTCGACCAGAACGTAGATTTTTCTCCAGTGGAATTTTCAAACATAACTTTTATCTCCTTTATCATAAAACATATATTTATTTTAAGTATGTAGAACATATAGGATTCTGATATATGGAGTCTTCATTGATATGTATTTTTTTCTGGTTATCATTCATGTGTTTTATCTTCCCATATCTTTTTTTTGTTTTGTTTTGTTTTGAGACGGAGTGTTGCTTAGTCATCCAGGCTGGAGTGCAGTGGCAGCGATCTCGGCTCACTGGAAGCTCCGCTTCCCAGGTTCATACCATTCTCCTGCCTCAGCCTCCCGAGTAGCTGGAACTACAGGCACCCGCCACCACGCCTGGCTAATTTTTTTTTTTTTTTTTTTTTTTTTTTGTATTTTTAGTAGAGACGGGGTTTCACCATGTTAGCCAGGATGGTCTCAATCCCCTGACCTCGTGATCCACCTGCCTTGGCCTCCCAAAGTGCTGTGATTACAGGCGTGAGCCACAGCGCCTAGCCTATCTTCCCATGTCTTACCTGTTTTATTGTTGTTTGGATTGGAGTGGGGTGGGGAGAATGGGTCTGTGTTTCTGTATTTCTGCATGAGCTTGATTTTTTTTATTTTTAAATATACTTTACTGTCATCTTTAAAATTTAAAGGGATTTTCATCTGTTACTTGCAGACAATAAATCAACAATCATCTGGACTCATGTGAATTTAATTGCAGAATTTGAATTTCTCTAGAATACTCAAATAATGAATTACTTTTAGTGTATTACTTAATCCCAACTAAATGTACAAGAGATTTGCCAATGCCCCACATTTAGTGAGCCATGGACTTTCACATTCGCTTCTCTAACCATGTGAAGTTGTCAATAGTTTTGCTCTATCTCTGAAAGTAGTGAAATTATCCCTTGAGGCATCCAACTTTAATTATTGTATTCACCTCTCTAACTTTCCATCTTCTGTATCTTGGCCAAGAATTTCTATACAACCTGCTGTTTCACGTTCCTATATCTTCAAGCAGATGTGTGTGTGTGTGTGTACACACACGTAGTTAATATTTTGTCTTTTATAGTTTTTATTGGTAGTGAAAGTGATCTTGACTTCAAAAATATAAAAACTTAAACCCAAAAAAGTAAAATAACTTACCCATAAGAATACAGGCAGTTATGATAGAGGAAATCTAGAACTTGTGTTAACCTCTAGAGTTCTTGTCTTTATAAGAAGAGCCACTGCATCCATTAGTCATTTGCTGTGAATAAAGGATAGCAGTGGCCACAAGGCTAGCAGGTGCAGCTAATATGAGGGGTGGAAGTGTTGATAGTATGAATTACATTGTTTAGTGTTAAAGAGTAGAGGAAGAAGCAGCCTCACCACAATTATCCTGTGATATTATTTGAAAATTACTCTTAAGGCATAGTTCATCTGTTTTTTGCTTTTTTTCAAAACACTGACTCCCCAGATAACTTGGAAATTCTGTGGATTAGCTAATGTTCAATATCAATAAATGAATTCCAGAATAAGAGATGTCCGTTTCAGAACTTACAACTAAAACCTGCAGTGATGTGACGTTATATGCATATGCCTTGTAAGGTTTAATAAGAACATGTAAAAATGCTTGAGTTTAAAAAAGGAGAGGAAAAGAAAAACCACAAAACAATAACAATGACAGAAATATGCTTCAAGTATAAGTGGAAAAATTCTAAAGACAGAATTATTGAATATTTAATTAGATGAAATAAATACTAGATCGTGGTATTTTTTTTTCAACTAGTCAATAGCAGCTCAAGCCATATGGAATACATAAATGATATTCAACATGGGCTAAGGATAGACATTAATATATGTATCCTTCAAAATTAAATAGTTTATTACCTATGAGTTTTCAATGCAATTCTCTTTATCTTTCTTTAAAATCACAACTAGTCTTTTGCTTAATTGAAACATGCAATTGTGAATAAATAGAGACAATCTGGGTAGATTCACCCAATGTCTACAATGGTCCATTAAACTACAAAACTATTCTTTGGACTAACGCTTTGTTTGTCAATGTTTAAATTTTTGATTAAAAGTGTTAAAGAATAAGAGAGGGAACTGCCATTAACAGAGTTGTGGCATCATATATTAGGTTATTTTAGGATAACTTATTTTTTTACAGGAACATATGATGTGGGGCAGAGAAAAAATAAGAGAATATAGCAGTGAGACTTCAGCTGACAGGGGTGTAGCTGGGAACTGATGTTAAGGGAGCCAATAAGAGAAAATCATTGGAACATTGCCATACCATAAAGCTTTTATAAGGCACATTCTTTTTACTGTCACAATGGACCATGCACTGTGAGACTTGTTTTCTAAACTTAACTCATCACTGAAAGCCACATAGCTTGGGGAAGTGCTTAACCCTATTGCATCTTAGTGTTTTCATTAGCAAAATGATGACAGTGGAGTAGTGGGAATTTAAAATATTACCAAATTTTAAAGATTATATAATTTGTATATTGAACAAGAGGGACTCATTGGATATTAATAGAAATTAACTTCATTATTTTCTTTCCTTTGCCCATTGTAAGCCACTCTGTGTGATACATTTTTTTCTTCTATCTTGGTTGAAATCTGAATCTATCCTCATCAACTTTTCTGATAAATCTTATGGAATAAAATTTTTAAAATTTATTGTATGCTCCTCAAAATATTTTATTCAAATAATAAAATATAGAACCTTTTAAGTTGTACTTTCTTCTTGCTCTTGTGCTGGGTATACTTCAGCCTGGCTTCTGCACTGGGAAAAGTGCTAAAGTCTATTGGTAAGCTTCTGTTCTGTTTTCCTGCTTAGAGTTTCTCCTGTTCCTCCAGTATTTAAAATGTAGTAGTCTATTGCTTCTTCTGGTCATGAGTTAAATCTGAAAATTTCTCTGTAATAGTTCGTTGTATGATGTATAGATAGATGATGTGTAGCTCTCATAAGAGCTTTCCATCATTGCTGATGATCTAGTTGAAAACCATCATTACCTTAATGTTGCTGAATGCAGATCCAACGCCCAAACACTTAAAACTCCTGCAAAACTTACACATACAATGTAGTACTCCCAGCATCTTTCCCTTGTGTTTACTCTCTCATCTGGCCCTGCTGAGAAGACTGTGGGCCAGATTCAACATAAACATTATTTGTTCTGATGAATGCTGAGTGGCAGCCTTCACCAAGCAGTGATATGCTTTTACTATGCTGTCAGAGCAGCCAGTCAGTTACAGCCTTTCATGCTTTGGTTTTACTGAAATAAGTCAGACATCCATGCGCAGTGTCATCAAAATTCCAAGATAAACATGTAAATCTCACCCAGTGGTCCTACCAAGGCCTTTCCCCAAGGCTTGAGCAGCGGGGAAAATATACTCTAATCTCTCCAGGGATGGATGGGATTCACCACATAAAGACATGACTTTCCAAAATTTGTCTTGTAATTTCTAGTTAACTCAGTCTTTCCAAGCTCTTTCATAGGCTTGAGGTCATTAAAGTTTAGCAAACCAACTCTTAGGTGAGTTTTGGAACATTCTGGTGTGATGATATCACACTTCCCTTTGGATTGTGGGCATTGTTGGTGACTATTATCTTGTGACCTCAGCCAATACTAAGGTAGCAACAGTTTTAACTTGCTTTTAAAACTGCACATTATTTCTTTTACGGCTATCAATTTGTTCTCTCTCGTAACATGTGCCAACAGTTGAAGTAATTTTTATTATTCCTTCCTAAGGTTGCTGTCTGATATTTATAAACAGAAAGAAAAAGCATTTTTAGTAATATAGTAGATAAACTATTAGGATCCCCGATTTTAAATATCTTCCTCTTTGAGACTTTTAATGTCTTGTATCTTATTAAAGTTCTGAAAATGTTTGCAATAAAGAAAGTTAGATTACTCCATTTAACTTGATTTAACTTGTATTTCCTGAACTATTTTCATTATTCCTTTTTTAAAACTACTTCTGACATCCTGCAGAATAATGTTGTTTCCATGGGGCAATAAACTGAGGATTTTCCAGTCCTGATTAGTTTTCCATATAAGGGCTATCTACAATACCTTAATTTCAATATTTGGGCTGGAAGTGTAGTAGTGGACAATGTTAATTTAGGTTTTAACTTTAACTCTGGACATCAAGATAGTATCATAGACAAATTAATTCAAGAGAAGATAGCATCTCCAAAATTTCACATTCAAATCTTTCTCCACCCCATGTTGTGAAGGATTAATACATGCATTTATTTAACTCCTTCAAGAAATAATTACAGAGTTCCTACAAGTTGCTATAAAATGAAGAAAATGTTGGTTGTAAATTTTAAACTCTTTAAGTATCTTGTAATTGTTATAGAAAGACACTAAGGTTGAGAATGTCTGCAATCCAGTACTGATTACATATTGTGATCCAATAATAATTTTGTGTCCAATAATAATTATAATAAACATTTACTGAGAAATTATGAGGCAAGTACAGTGCTCAACACATATTATGCAGTCTTATTGAATAATAATAATTATGATAATCATAGAATGGAATGTGGTTATCATAGAATGTATATACTAGTATATCCTTAATTTACAATTTGGGGAATTGATACTCAAAGAGAACACGTAACTTTGCCAATGTCACATCATTGAAGAGTTTAGATAGAAGCATTCAGCGGTTACTAACATAAGAAACTGCTCAGAAGTTAAGAGATGGAGGAAAATATTCTTTGATGTTAATTTCACAACTGAATAGGTATGTATGGAATAGGATCAAGACTTTCTATGCAAAGCATGCCATGCGAGTGACAGTATAGAGAAAGGAAATGCCATAGTACACTGGAAGAACTGCATATTTTGGTAGCACTATGCAAAAATTTTACCTGGGAAGAAGTAGGCACTGGCAAGGCTTTGGAAATGAGATATAATAAAACAGAATAATCCAGTTTTAAATAAAGTTAGTTTTCCAAATGAAACAAAAATTTCAATAAATGGTTAATGGGGGAAAGATTTGACCTTTCTATGGTGCATTTCTTGAGATGTTTTGGCTCTCAGATAGCTTGTGAAGCATTACTAATATTTAGAGAGTAGGCACCAGGGATGTTAGACATCTTGCAAAGTGTTCAATAATCTGCACAAGGAAGAATATGTTCAAGAACTGCAGACATTTTAATATTCTTATATAATATCTATATCATAAAACATATTTGTTTTCATATGAATCTGGAATCAAACTTTTTAATAGCATATCTTTAATGTATAATTTTTCCCCACAAGAATTTGACTTCAGTATAAATCAAGAGAAAAATAACCATTTATTTTCTTGAAGTTTTTACTAAACTTTATTGTCTAATTTCAGAAAATCACACTAATAGCAATGCCTCTTATCATATTTAGTGGCTGATATGGTTTGTCTCTGTGCCTCCAGTCAAATCTCATCTCAAATTGTAATCCCCACGTGTCAAGGGAGTGACCTGGTAGGAGATAATTGGATCATTGGGAGGGTTCCTCCAATGCTGTTCTCATGATAGTGAGTGACTTCTAAGGAGATCTGATACTTATCTCTCTCTCTCTCTCTCTCTCTCTCTCTCTCTCCTGCCACTGTGTAAAACATGTCTTATTTCCCCTTCATCTTCTGCCATAATTGTAAGTTTCCTGAGGCCATCCCAGCCATGAGGAACTACGAGTCAATGAAACCTCTTTTCTTTATAAGTTACCCAGTCCAAGGTATTCTTTATAGCAGTGTAAAAATGGACTGATAAGAAAATTGGTACCAGGAGTCCAGCACTGCTTTAAAAATAACCTGAAAATGTGGAATCAACTTTGGAACTGGGTAACAGGCAGATTCAAACAGGAAGCCTCAAAAAAAGGCAAGAAGATGTGGGAAAGTGTGGAACTTCTTAAGGACTTGTTGAATGATTTTGATCAAAATGCTGATAGTGATATGAACAGTGAAATCCAGGTTGAGGTGGTCTCAGATGGAGATAAATAATTTATTGGGAACTGGAGCAAAGGTCACTCATGCTATGCTTTAGCGAAGTGACGGGCTGCATTTTTTCTCTGCCCTAGAGGTCTGTGGAACTTTGAACTTGAGAGAGATGGTTTAGAGTATCTGGCAGAAGAAATTTCTATGCAGCAAAGCCTTCAAGATGTGGCCTAACTTTCTAAAAGCATATGATCATATGTATTCACAGAGATTATCTGAATTTGGAAGTTGTGTTTACAAGGGAAGCAGAGCATAAAAATTTAAAGCATTTGCTGCCTGACCATGTGGTAGAGAAGAAAAACACATTTTCTGGGGAGAAATTCAAGCCTGCTCAGAAATTTGCATAAATAACAAGGGGCCCAATGTTTATCATCAAAACAATGGGGAAAACATCTCCAGGGCATTTCAGAGATCTTCAAGTTATCCCCTTCCATCACAGACCTGGTGGCCTAGGAGGCAAAAATGGTTCTGTGGGCTGGGCCCAGGGCCTTGCTGCTCTGTGCAGCCTTGGGACATGGCTCCTTGTATCCCAGCTTCTCCAGGTCCACCTGTGGCTAAAAGGAGCCAAGGTACAGATCAGACTGTTGCTTCAGAGAACGCAAGCCCCAAGACTTGGTGGATTCCATGTGGTGTTGGGCCTGTGGGTTGAGCTTTGGGAACTTCTGCCTAGATTTCAGGGGATATATAGAAACATCTGGATGCCCAGGCAGAAGTCTGCTGCAGGGGCAGAGCCCTCATGAAGAACCTCTATAATAGCAATGCAGAGCAGAAATGTGGTGTTGGAGCCCCACCACAGAAACCCCCTGGGGCACTGCCCAGTGGAGCTGTGAGAAGACGGCCATCATCCTCCATACCCCAGAATGGTAAATCCACTGACAGCTTGCACTGTGCACCTGAAAAACCAGCTCAGGAAAGTAGCTCTGGGGGCTGTACCCTGCAGAGCCATAAGGGTAGAGCTGCTCAAGGCCATGGGAGCTCACCCGTTGCATCAGCATACCCTAGATATGAGACATGGAGTCAAAGGAGACTGTTTTGAAGCTTTAAGATTTAATGAATGCCCTGCCAATTTTCAGACTTCCTTGGGGCCTGTGACCTCTTTGTTTTGGCCAATTTCTCATATATGGAACAAGAACATTACCCAATGCCTGTACCCCCATTGTATGTTGGAAGTAACTAACTTGTTTTATTATTTTATTTTACAGACTTATAGGTGATAAGGACATACCTTGTCTCAGATAAGACTTTGGACTTGGACTTTTGAGTTAATGCTGGAATGAGTTAAGATTTGGGGGGACTGTTGGGAAGGCATAATTGCATTTTGAAATGTGAGAAGAACATGAGATTTGGGAGGGGGAGGAGTCAGAATGACATAATTTGACTCTGTGTTCCAACCCAAATCTCATCTCAAATTGTAATCCCCATGTGTCAATGGAGAGACTTGGTAGGGGTAATTGCTTGATGGGGGCAGTTCCCACATGCTGTTCTCATGATAGTGAGTGAGTTCTCATAAGATCTGACGGTTTAAATGTGTCTGGCATTCCCCTATCACTGTCTCTCCTGCCACCATGCAACATTTGTGTTATTTCCCCTTCCACTTCTGCCATGATTATAAGTTTCTTGAGGCCTTCCCAGCCATGTGAAACTGAGAGTCAATGAAACTTCTTTTCTTTATAAATTACCCAATCTCAGGTATTTTTTTATAGCAATGTAAAAATGGACTATACAGTTGCCTATGGAGGGTAACCAACTTTTATTGCTAGTATAACTTTTGCTTTGGTACAATTCCATATATAGAGATAATCATTTACCAATATATTATGACTTCTAATATAATAGTTACTCTTATTTCTCCTTAGGATTATGGTTAGAGTTGATTTTGTCCATTATACCAATTTATCTTTATGTTATATGTGTAACATATAAAATTCTTCCAGAACTTTATTTCAGAATAATAGAAAAGGCATTAAAAAGTAAGTATTAAGAAAAGGGGATATTGACTGTGATAAGGTACAAAGCTAGAAGTATGACCTCAACATCAACAAAATGAAAAATACCCTAGGGATACCTTAATATTTATTCACCCTTTTTCCTCTAAACTGAAATCTAAAAAGGATTTTTTTTCAGAGTGGCAATGTACCCAATTTAAAATGCTCTGCTTTACAAATTTCATTGAAATTGTGAGAGCATGTAATGCAATTACAGCCAAGAAGATGTAAGAACTACCAGGTGAGGTATCTGGGCAAGAAGGTATTTCTTTTCTTTTTTTTTTTTTTAATTTATTATTATTATACTTTAAGTTTTAGGGTACATGTGCACAATGTGCAGGTTAGTTACGTATGTATACATGTGCCATGCTGGTGCACTGCACCCACTAACTCGTCATCTAGCATTAGGTGTATCTCCCAATGCTATCCCCCCCACCTCCCCCCACCCCACAACAGTCCCCAGAGTGTGATGTTCCCCTTCCTGTGTCCATGTGTTCTCATTGTTCAATTCCCACCTATGAGTGAGAATATGCGGTCTTTGGTTTTTTGTTCTTGCGATAGTTTATGGAGAATGATGATTTCCAATTTCATCCATGTCCCTACAAAGGACATGAACTCATCATTTTTATGGCTGCATAGTATTCCATGGTGTATATGTGCCACATTTTCTTAATCCAGTCTATTGTTGTTGGACATTTGGGTTGGTTCCAAGTCTTTGCTATTGTGAATAGTGCCACAATAAACATACATGTGCATGTGTCTTTATAGCAGCATGATTTATAATCCTTTGGGTATATACCCAGTAATGGGATGGCTGGGTCAAATGGTATTTCCAGTTCTAGATCCCTGAGGAATCGCCACACTGACTTCCACAATGGTTGAACTAGTTTACAGTCCCACCAGCAGTGTAAGAGTGTTCCTATTTCTCCACATCCTTTCCAGCACCTGTTGTTTCCTGACTTTTTAATGATTGCCATTCTAACTGGTGTGAGATGGTATCTCATTGTGGTTTTGATTTGCATTTATCTGATGGGCAGTGATGATGAGCATTTTTTCATGTGTTTTTTGGCTGCATAAATGTCTTCTTTTGAGAAGTGTCTGTTCATGTCCTTCGCCCACTTTTTGATGGGGTTGTTTGTTTTTTTCTTGTAAATTTGTTTGAGTTCATTGTAGATTCTGGATATTAGCCCTTTGTCAGATGAGTAGGTTGCGAAAATTTTCTCCCATTTTGTAGGTTGCCTGTTCACTCTGATGGTAGTTTCTTTTGCTGTGCAGAAGCTCTTTAGTTTAATTAGATCCCATTTGTCAATTTTGTCTTTTGTTGCCATTGCTTTTGGTGTTTTAGACATGAAGTCCTTGCCCATGCCTATGTCCTGAATGGTAATGCCTAGGTTTTTTCTAGGGTTTTTATGGTTTTAGGTCTAATGTTTAAGTCTTTAATCCATCTTGAATTGATTTTTGTATAAGGTGTAAGGAAGGGATCCAGTTTCAGCTTTCTACATATGGCTAGCCAGTTTTCCCAGCAACATTTATTAAATAGGGAATCCTTTCCCCATTGCTTGTTTTTCTCAGGTTTGTCAAAGATCAGATAGTTGTAGATATGTGGTGTTATTTCTGAGGGCTCTGTTCTGTTCCATTGATCTATATCTCTGTTTTGGTACCAGTACCATGCTGTTTTGGTTACTGTAGGCTTGTAGTATAGTTTGAAGTCAGGTAGTGTGATGCCTCCAGCTTTGTTCTTTTGGCTTAGGATTGACTTGGCGATGTGGGCTCTGTTTTGGTTCCATATGACCTTTAAAGTAGTTTTTTCCAATTCTGTGAAGAAAGTCATTGGTAGCTTGATGGGGATGGCATTGAATCTGTAAATTACCCTGGGCAGTATGGCCATTTTCATGATATTGATTCTTCCTACCCATGAGCATGGAATGTTCTTCCATTTGTTCGTATCCTCTTTTATTTCCTTGAGCAGTGTTTTGTAGTTCTCCTTGAAGAGTTCCTTCACATCCCTTGTAAGTTGGATTCCTAGGTATTTTATTCTCTTTGAAGCAATTGTGAATGGGAGTTCACTCATGATTTGGCTCTCTGTTTGTCTGTTGTTGGGGTATAAGAATGCTTGTGATTTTTGTACATTGATTTTGTATCCTGAGACTTTGCTGAAGTTGCTTATCAGCTTAAGGAGATTTTGGGCTGAGACGATGGGGTTTTCTAGATATACAATCATGTCATCTGCAAACAGGGACAATTTGACTTCCTCTTTTCCTAATTGAATACCCTTTATTTCCTTCTCCTGCCTAATTGCCCTGGCCAGAACTTCCAACACTATGTTGAATAGGAGTGGTGAGAGAGGGCATCCCTGTCTTGTGCCAGTTTTCAAAGGGAATGCTTCCAGTTTTTGCACATTCAGTGTGATATTGGCTGTGGGTTTGTCATAGGTAGCTCTTATTATTTTGAGATATGTCCCATCAATACCTAATTTATTGAGAGTTTTTATCATGAAGGGCTGTTGAATTTTGTCAAAGGCCTTTTCTGCATCTATTGAGACAATCATGTTGTTTTTGTCTTTGGTTCTGTTTCTGTGCTGGCTTACATTTATTGATTTGCATATATTGAACCAGCCTTGCATCCCAGGGATGAAGGCCACTTGATCATGGTGCATAAGCTTTTTGATGTGCTGCTGGATTTGGTTTGCCAGTATTTTATTGAGGAGTTTTGCATCAATGTTCATCAAGGATATTGGTCTAAAATTCTCTTTTTTGGTTGTGTTTCTGCCCGGCTTTTGTATCAGGATGATACAACATTTATGAGGATGATGCTGGCCTCATAAAATGAGTTAAGGATGATTCCCTCTTTTTCTATTGATTGGAATAGCTTCAGAAGGAATGGTACCAGTTCCTCCTTGTACTTCTGGTAGAATTCGGCTGTGAATCCATCTGGTCCTGGACTCTTTTTTGTTGGTAAGCTATTGATTATTGCCACAATTTCAGCTCCTGTTATTGGTCTATTCAGAGATTCAACTTCTTCCTGGTTTAGTCTTGGGAGAGTGTATGTGTCGAGGAATTTATCCATTTCTTCTAGATTTTCTAGTTTATTTGCATAGAGTTGTTTGTAGTATTCTCTGATAGTAGTTTGTATTTCTGTGGGATCAGTGGTGATATCCCCTTTATCATTTTTTATTGTTTCTATTTGATTCTTCTCTCTTTTTTTCTTTGTTAGTCTTGCTAGCGGTCTATCAATTTTGTTGATCCTTTCAAAAAACCAGCTCCTGGATTCATTAATTTTTTGAAAGGTTTTTTGTGTCTCTATTTCCTTCAGTTCTGCTCTGATTTTAGTTATTTCTTGCCTTCTGCTAGCTCTTGAATATGTTTGCTCTTGCTTTTCTAGTTCTTTTAATTGTGATGTTAGGGTGTCAATTTTGGATCTTTCCTGCTTTCTCTTTTGGGCATTTAGTGCTATAAATTTCCCTCACACACTGCTTTGAATGTGTCCCAGAGATTCTGGTATTTTGTGTCTTTGTTCTCGTTGGTTTCAAAGAACATCTTTATTTCTGCCTTCATTTCGTTATGCACCCAGTAGTCATTCAGGAGCAGTTTGTTCAGTTTCCATGTAGTTGAGTGGTTTTGAGTGAGATTCTTAATCCTAAGTTCTAGTTTGATTGCACTGTGGTCTGAGAGATAGTTTGTTATAATTTCTGTTCTTTTACATTTGCTGAGGAGAGCTTTACTTCCAAGTATGTGGTCCATTTTGGAATAGGTGTGGTGTGGTGCTGAAAAAAATGTATATTCTGTTGATTTGGGGTGGAGAGTTCTGTAGATGTCTATTAGGTCTGCTTGGTGCAGAGCTGAGTTCAATTGCTGGGTATCCTTGTGCACTTTCTGTCTTGTTGATCTGTCTAATGTTGACAGTGGGGTGTTAAAGTCTCCCATTATTAATGTGTGGGAGTCTAAGTCTCTTTGTAGGTCACTGAGGACTTGCTTTATGAATCTGGGTGCTCCTGTATTGGGTGCATATATATTTAGGATAGTTAGCTCTTCTTGTTGAATTGATCCCTTTACCATTATGTAATGGCCTTCTTTGTCTCTTTTGATCTTTGTTGGTTTAAAGTCTGTTTTATCAGAAACTAGGATTGCAACCCCTGCCTTTTTTTGTTTTCCATTTGCTTGGTAGATCTTCCTCCATCCTTTTATTTTGAGCCTATGTGTGTCTCTGCCCGTGAGATGGGTTTCCTGAATACAGCACACTGATGGGTCTTGACTCTTTATCCAATTTGCCAGTCTGTGTCTTTTAATTGGAGCATTTAGTCCATTTACATTTAAAGTTAATATTGTTATGTGTGAATTTGATGTGTCATTATGATGTTAGCTGGTCATTTTGCTCGTTAGTTGATGCAGTTTCTTCCTAGTCTCGATGGTCTTTACATTTTGGAATGATTTTGCAGCGGCTGGTACTGGTTGTTCCTTTCCATGTTTAGCGCTTCCTTCAGGAGCTCTTTTAGGGCAGGCCTGCTGGTGAGAAAATCTCTCAGCATTTGCTTGTCTGTAAAGTATTTTATTTCTCCTTCACTTATGAAGCTTAGTTTGGCTGGATATGAAATTCTGGGTTGAAAATTCTTTTCTTTAAGAATGTTGAATATTGGCCCCCACTCTCTTCTGGCTTGTAGAGTTTCTGCCGAGAGATCCGCTTTTAGTCTGATGGGCTTCCTTTGTGGGTAACCCGACCTTTCTCTCTGGCAGCCCTTAACATTTTTTCCTTCATTTCAACTTTTGTGAATCTGACAATTATGTGTCTTGGAGTTGCTCTTCTCAAGGAGTATCTTTGTGGCTTTCTCTGTATTTCCTGAATCTGAACGTTGGCCTGCCTTGCTAGATTGGGGAAGTTCTCCTGGATAATATCCTGCAGAGTGTTTTCCAACTTGGTTCCATTCTCCCCATCACTTTCAGGTACACCAATCAGACGTAGATTTGGTCTTTTCACATAGTCCCATATTTCTTGGAGGCTTTGCTCGTTTCTTTTTATTCTTTTTTCTCTAAACTTCCCTTCTCGCTTCATTTCATTCACTTCATCTTCCATCGCTGATACTGTTTCTTCCAGTTGATCGCATCAGCTTCTGAGGCTTCTGCATTCTTCATGTAGTTCTTGAGCCTTGGTTTTCAGCTCCATCAGCTCCTTTAAGCACTTCTCTGTATTGGTTATTCTAGTTATACATTCTTCTAAACTTTTTTCAAAGTTATCAACTTCTTTGCCTTTGGTTTGAATTTCCTCCCATAGCTCGGAGTAATTTGATCATCTGAAGCCTTCTTCTCTC